>NC_000007.14:97355263-97658294 GCF_000001405.40 Homo sapiens
GGCTCTTAGTTACTGATCGGATACTTTGTGGCTTCTATAATTATGGGAATTCTAAACTAATGTCCCTTTAAACACTTCTATGTTCACATTCCATTTATTCTTTCTTGATAGACCCTCTTTCAGATTTAAGTTGTTCATTTTTACTTTATCCTCCAAACTTTTGAATTTATCTTCCACACTTTCCATCTTTTTTATCTTGCTATATTGTTTTATTTTAGCTTTTCAGATATGTCTTACAATTCACTATTTTTCTCTTCAGCTGTGTCTAGTCTGCCCTCTAACCTACTCTATGAGTGAATGGCTATATTTTTCATTTCTTGAAAGATTTACTTTTCAAATCTGTTATTTTTATAAAATTCTGGTCTTTTTATATTTCATTTTATATTTTTAAATTATTTTAGGCCTACTTATTTTGTAGTCTCAGTCTAATAATTATTTTTTTGTGAGTTTTCTTTCCCTCCTTTCATTTTAGACTGTGGAAATACTTGTGACCTTGGTTAAAGGGAGTTTAGTCAGCTAAATTTTTCATTTGCTTTTGTTATGCACCTCATTGATTTTATCAGCCTAGTACCACTTTTTATGTTAAGTTCTTGACTTGAGGGTTTTCAAATATTTTTGAAAACCAAACTTTTCATAAAGGCAAAATCATAGTTTCTTAGAGAAGATACCTCTAACCTTAGCTCAGGGTGAAATTGACAAGCTTCTTGTTATTTTCTTGGTTTGCTTGATGAAATTTTTTCTAGTCTACACTCTCAGTGAATATGTAGCTCCTTCAAGGTTCTAAGGAGACTTTTTATGGCAGTCTCAGTTTTAATTACCTGTTTCACAGGCCTCCAGATATTGTTTATCTTCTTATGTAGGTGAAAAATCCAAGAGGCACGGAGCTTGCATTGAATGACCAACTTAGAATTATGGCCAAACAACATTGGTCTTTCCTTTATTTGAATTTGACAAATAGGAACTTTTCTCAGGAGATACGTCACATTTTATTTTGAATTTCTAAATATTTTGTAGAGAAAAGATTTTCAAGATATCTTGTCCAAAATATTGATGAAAAGGGAAATTACAGAATCTGTTTTTTTTTTTTTTTTTTTTTTAACCAGCCTGGATCTATTTGCCTATCTCCTGGATCATGTTGATCCAGCTTAGAGTACATGTTTACCTCTCTGGGTTTGGGGAGGTAATGTGATTATCAGTACCTTCCAGAACCATTTAGTATGAGTGGGGAAACAACCGTTTGTCCCCCTATTCCCTCACCCCAGAAAACAAGGGATAGTCTAATGCCAGAACAGGGAAAACAGTGCTGAGGCAAATGAAATAGCTGTCCACTACAGATGGTTCCCTTGTCTGAGCTTTGTAGATAAGACTGAATTTGCTGGGCCTAGTACAGAGTGAAAAATGGGGAGCCACTTGTTCAAAAAGCAGGAAAAAGTACCATTAAAGGTACTAAAACGTAAAGCTTTTTTTTCATGGCCTCTTTCTTCACTTGTGTTGGCATTTTTTATTTGATATTTAATATCAGACTACCTTGGGCACAAGGATACTCAAGGGGCAGATGCAGACCTTCACAGGTGGGGGTGCTGCTCTGCAACTCAGCACATGTACACCTGCTGCCCAGTTTCCCATCCCACCAGCCACTAGACTGACATGCCTTGCTCCATCCAGGGCTGGGGAAGCTGAGCTAGGTATCTACCCTTCCCATGGACCCACTATACCAACCAATGGCAGATGGGTAACCCCCAATATTATTGTTATCTCCATGACAGGGCATGCAAAGTACCTGATTTGTGGGTAGTTAGGAGGCTTGCCCTGCTGAATTTTCTGCTGAACATACTATGGTGCCGCTAGCCTAAAGTGGGGATAGGTATCTTGAGATGCCACAGAGTATATATGCCCAACCCTGAATCTCCCAACAGTCAAGCGCAGGCTCTTGTGAGGTGAAGTGTGGCAGTAGTTGCTGAGCAGCAGCAAGGAGTGGGGGGAAGGTGGAAGGGCCCTGGGCACCAGGGTATGGGGGAGTAGGTGGCTGACACCCCTTCCTGGGAAGACAGCAGGAAGCATGGCCATAGGTGAGCTGCGACTCTATGCCTCTGGTGTGTTCTCTATTGTTCCATTGGTCTTCACTTACAAATTCAAAGATAAAATTATTAAGAATCTCCAGATAGTGACACTATCACAGGGCCTCCTCAGCCTGCATATGGGAATGCAGCCAGCCCTGGGCTCATCAGGCTGATTATCTGGGGGGTTATCTCTCATGCAAAAGGCAGAGCAAAGATTTGCAACCAGAGCAAATGAACACCAGCCTATCACCTCATTCAGGAGTCTAATGAAGAAATGTATGGCAATGCAGCATGGCTTGAAAACTAATTTCTAGTCTGCAACTCATTGTGAAACTGTATTGAGCTTCCCCATTTAAATTCACATAACCTTGGGTATATCTGGCTGTCTACCTGAAACCTCTAGTCACAAAAAGTGTATTTCCCTCAAAGGTTGAATTCTCATGTCAGAGTAATTTCTACAATTTCTGATTTTGAGATGGTATTCCAGGAACCATCACAGCTTGCATCAGCTTCATTTTCTTTTCCTTGCTTCATAAATTGGTTATATTGTCAGGCATAGGGAAAGTGATTTTTGTTTGTTTAACTCACTCTATAGTTATTTAATGACAGAAGGAGACGATTGGGAATCTCTGATCCCAAATCCCAGATATTAGCTTTAAATATGCAACTAAAATAAAATTGGAGTTCTTAATTCTCTCCCCCATCTCCCTCTTTCTTTCTTTCTCTATCTGACTTAAAGGTAATTGTACAGTTACCCAAAAATGATGACACAAAAAAGGAAAAGGAAATTAACAACTGACAATAAAAGAAAATTGGTAAGGCAGAATGTAAAAAATCTTTTATTTCTTATAAAAATATAACACAAGATATTTTCACTAGAGTAAATTAAGAAAATTCAGAAGTATATAATCTAGCAAGTGAAAGTCCTTTATCACCGCTCAATTTCCCAATCTTATTCTTTTCTTCAGGGGTAACCACCACTAAGAGTTTGGCCAGGTGCGGTGGCTCATGCCTGTAATCCCAGCACTTTGGGAGGCCGAGGCAGTCGGATCACCTGATGTTAGAAGTTCGAGACCAGCCTGACCAACAATGAGAAACCCCATCTCTACTAAAAATATAAAATTAGCTGGGCGTGGTGGTGCATGCCAGTAATCCCAGTTACTTGGGAGGCTGAGGCAGAATTGCTTGAACCTGGGAGGTGGAGGTTGTGGTGGGCTGAGATCGCACCACTGCACTCCAGCCTGGGCAACAAGAGTGAAACTCTGTCTCAAATAAAAAAAAGAGAGTCGGATGCACATTTTTTCCAGATATTTCTCTATGCCTTTACATAGATATATGGTAGGTGGGAAATGTATACCAGAGGGAGAAATCAGGAGGGAAATATATAATAAGCTTTTCTTTGTATGGAAGGAGTGCAGCATCAAATTTAGTTAGTATAGGTAAAATCAACAAGACCTTGCAAGAGACTTAAGGGGAGAAAACAACCAAGGAATGGTTTGAATTATTTTAAGTACAAGTGTTAGAACAGACACAAGCAAGAAAGGGATTTGGCCAACTAGATTACAGCTCTTGGTAAAAGCAGCAATCTCATAACCCATTCTCCATTGCTCCAGCTACATACCATATCCCCAGTGTACAGTAATGACATTCTAGTTTTGGGGGTGGCTACAGACTCCAGTTAGGTTTACTTTGGTAATAGAGTTATTCACTCTATTTCTATCCTTATGTGTGAATGGTGTGGGGAGAAGTTTTGTAGGGGTTTGTGCCATACACACAAAATAATATCAGGAGGGAAAAGGATAAAATGAATCTAACAGGGTTGACACAGGCCTGCTCTAGTGAGCTTCTGGACACTGCAGACTTTCTCTCCTGACTGGCAGAGCTGGCAGTAAGTCATACATCAGGTAGTTGTTTATCTCTATCTTAAGCGCTGATCTACCTGACTTCTGTGTTTCATAAAAATCTAGAAGTTAGAAAACCAGAATTGGGAAAAAGTTGTTTACTCTTCTGGTGCCACAGGTAATGATTCAGAGCACTCTAGGGGTGTGTGTGTGTGTGTGTGTGTGTGTGTGTGTGTGTGGACTTCTTTTATTTCCTTCCCATTGGGAAAGCTGCTTCTAGGAAATTTAATTGACTGAAAGGTCTATACTTTTTCATTCTTCTGTCTTTTCTTTTTCATTTGGTCTACAACATGGATATGATGTCTTGAGCTCCAGCAGCTGCCTTCTGTCATAAAGTGGCCTTAAAGAAGAAAGAAGCCCCGTGGATGGAGCATTCTATCCAGAGACAGAAGGAACCTGGGTTCATGACGGTTTTGGAGCACTCATATCTGTTTTGGACTGCCTATTGTTGTTATCGCTCTTTTTTTTTTTTTTTTTTTTGAGACAGGGTCTCACTCTGCCAACTAGGCTGGAGAGCAGTGGTGCAATCTCGGCTCACTGCAACCTCCACCTCCTGGGATGGGGTTTCGCCATGTTGGCCAGGCTAGTCTGGAACTCCTGACATCAAGTGATCCATCTGCCTTGGCCTTTCAAAGTGCTGGGATTACAGGCATGAGCCACCATGCCCAGCCTGTTGTTATTGTTCTTTAATACATTTCTTTTTTTTTTTTTTTTTTGAAACGGAGTCTTACTCTGTCGCTCAGGCTGCAGCGCAGTGGCGCGATCTTGGCTCACTGCAAGCTCCGCCTCCCAGGTTCACGCCATTCTCCTGCCTCAGCCACCCAAGTAGCTGGGACCACAGGTGCCTGCCACCACGCCCAGCTAATTTTTTTGTATTTTTAGTAGAGAAGGGGTTTCACCGTGTTAGCCAGGATGGTCTGGATCTCCTAACCTCGTGATCTGCCTGTCTTGGCTTCCCAAAGTGCTGGGATTACAGGTGTGAGCCACCGCGCCCGGCTCTCTTTAATACATTTCTTAAATGTTTAATGCATTGTTATTTCAGGTTTCCTGATATATAAAAGCCAAACTTAACCTTTGTACACCATCTGTCTCTTTTTGTTGATGTTCCTTTCTTGTATGCTGTTGGATTAAGGCTTGATGTTATTTTAACTGTGTAGCGTTCCATTTCCTTTCTAATTAGTTTGAAGTTATACACTCTATTTCTGTCCTTATGCTTACCATTAATATTTTGAGGTACATGTTGAAACCATGTTTCTATCTTCCTGTTTAAAATGAATTCTCACTTTTATCCTTTCACTAAACCGATCAGGAACCTAATAATTTCTGACTTCCTTCCTCACACAATTCCCCATATCGACATTATTTACTACTTTAATGTTTGAATATTAGTAAATATTAAGACTCTCCCAGTATTATTATGAAGTTTTATTTTTAAATATCTATTTTATGATATTTTAAGGGCTATATAATGGGAGAGTTACTTACATCTACTCAGTCTATGCTCTTGATCTAACCTACATATAATTATATGATAAAAATGTACATTAAAATGCATTGAGGAAGTAGAGGAAGGGTTAAGAGAACACCACAATAAAAAAGCTGTTCCCAATCCTTTCTTATTCAACTCATCAAAATTTCTTTAGCATTTATGCAAATGTATGTATTCTGTCACTTTCTATTTCTGTCTCTCTGAAAACTGTTCTCTTTGAAGCTCCCTCACATTGCTCTTCTCTGATTTTTTTCTTTTACAACTATAGTCCTCTCTCCACTTTTTACTTTTGTATCTCTTTTCTTGTACCTGTCTACCATGCAAAAGCTCCATGGCCAAGAGACATACACGAATAATTCTTCCATTTCAGAAAAGGTGAAAGGTGTGGTTGTAATTGCCTAAGATTTAATGTACACTTTAATGTCATACACAAATAAGAGAACCTGCTACTTAATAGAATGCCATTATTTGTTCTCATGTAAAATGCAGAATTAAACCCCAGTTTATCTCTTCATTGTTATAAATCTGTTTCATGATTCATGTTCCCTTTAACTATATCTATATTAAATAAATTATTCAAGCATAAAAGGTATTATGTTTGGAGAAACACTGAAATCCATAGTTAAATATGTAGACAATATAGTTCAGAATAAAGGAGTTAGGTAACACCCACCATACCTAACCCATTTCAACAAAGCCCAGCTAGTGTAAATATTAAAGGGAATGCTGCATGCAATTCACAAAAAAATTGCTCCTTTAAATCAATATTATATGTATATGACATGAAATTATTATAAAGTTATTAGATAAAAATACCACAGGGAAAAAATCAGGTAAATAAACATAATTACAAATATAGCATGTACGTATCATTTCCAAAAGAAAAAGTTGGTAGAATCCCACGAAATTGTTTTCTGAGTATAAAAACAGAACTCAACATTATGCCAGAAAAAGCTTTAGAGTTTACATTTCTAAGGAACAGCTCTTTGAAATACACAAATTAATGTCAGCCTACTCTTTGGGTTATGTCTGAGGTGGAGATCCTGAAGTGAAGATACCAGTGGTGAGACTGTTTAGGAGTAATGAGTGCCAATAAGAAGGAGTGACGAGGCAACCAAGAGGCCCTTAGACCTAGGAGTTAAAGTTACATACACACATGTTCTGGACATACAATTAGACACAACTGCTCTCCTATTTAATCAGTGTCAGCCATGTGTCAGATACAGGGCTCCAAGCATAGACTGACATGATATAATGAACTGTGAACATCTTGAGGCCAGGGATTATGCTTCATACTGTTTGTACACAGTAAATGACAAATGTTTGATATTCAAGAAAGAAAATATCAAGGTGCCCCAATAAACAGAAATGCTTCATGATTTACTCAGGGTCAGTCTAGTAAGGCTATTTGCCCAAGTTAGCTAACAAATATTAACCACCTCCAAGAAAAACAGGTAGTTCAAATCCAGTTTTAAAGGTGGAGGACAGCAGGTTTAATATTTCCATTTATAATGTGTTCTTGTGATGGTGGTGTGACAGGAAGGTACAAACGCTTCTTTGTTTGTGTGTATTTTCATATTGGTATGTCCACCAGGGTGCAAAGTTAGTTTAAAATGAGGTTTTTCTGGAAACTTGGTTTTATCTCTAATGGGATCCAAGAAATTGGGAACGAAAAGTGCATTTCTTATTCATGGCAGGGTTGTGCTTGAGACTATTTTCCGTGTGCTTTTTCTTTATGTTAAAAATAAAAGATAGGCTGGGTGTGGTGGCTCACGCCTGTAATCCCAGCACTTTGGGAGGACGAGTTGGGTGGATGACCTGAGGTCAGGAGTTCAAGACCAGCCTGGCCAACATGGCGAAACCCCGTCTCCACTAAAAATACAAAAATTAGCTAGGTGTGGTGGTGTGCACCTGTAATCCCACCTACTAGGGAGGCTGAGGCATAAGAATTGCTTGAACCCGGGAGGTGGATGTCACAGTGAGCCGAGATCATGCCACTGCACTCCAGCCTGGGGGATAGAGCAAGACTCTGTCTTCAAAAATAAAATAAAATAAGATAAAAGATAATAAGATGTACAGGACAAAAAGGGGAAAGGAATCTAAAAGATAAAGATAAAATTGTAGAGGAAAATAGATAAAACAGTAAAAGTAAACTGCCATGGTAAAAGCCATTAATCAAACAACCTAGAACAAAAACAAACCTACAGACTCAAGAGAAAAATAAAACTTATCTGAATGTAAATGGCTAAAAATAGCTGATAAGTACCCAGTACAAAACTAATAACAAGACAGAAAATCTTACATAACAGTATTGGAGGCAAAAGTCCCCAAAGATCAAGGTCCCTGTATTAGGGTTCCCCAGAGAAACAGAACCAGTAGTGTGTGTGTGTGTGTGTGTGCATGTGTGTTTGTTTCTTTTTTGTTTTTGAGATGGAGTCTCGCTCTGTCACAAGGCTGGAGTACAGTGGCACAATCTCGGCTCACTGCAACCTCCGCCTCCTGGGTTCAGTTGATTCTCCTGCCTCAGCCTCCTGAGTAGCTGGGACTACAGGTGCCCGCCACTATGCCTGGCTAATTTTTGTATTTTCAGTAGAGATGGGGCTTCACCATGTTGGCCAGGATGGTCTTGATCTCTTGATCACATGATCCACCCGCCTCGGCCTCTCAAAGTGCTGGGATTATAGGCATGAATCACTGTCCCCGGCCCATTTCTATCTGTCTATCTGTCTGTCTGTCTGTCTGTCTGTCTGTCTGTCTATCTATCTATCTATCTATCTATCTATCTTTATAATGAGGAATTGGCTCATGTTACTATGGAGGCTGAGAAGTCCCACCATCTGTGTCTGCAAGCTGAAGACCCAGGAAAGCCAGTGGTGTAATTCTAGCTCAAGAGCAAAGGACTGCATGTGGCTGACTAAAGGCATCTGGTACTCTCCTCTTCCACAAAGAAGAAACAAAATAGTGAGTAGATAATCACATTTCAAATAGATCATCTAAGAGAGAACACTAGCATTCAACAGAGAAGTGACAGGAAACATCCAAGGCAAGGAAGGAGCAGGAAGCCAGGCATCCTGCTCAGCCAGGATTAGCTGGGAGCGCAGAGAGGTTTCTCAATGTGGAGAAAGAGTGAGAGACCCCCAGTGGTCCATATTTCCATTGAAGACTCCTGCAATCCTATCAATGGGAATGCTCCTCAACCCTCACAGGCCCTGAGACTAACATGAGGAGCTTCCTAGAGACCTCATAATGGCACTGCTCCAGACAGGGAGCTCATGCTGGGTCTCATGAACTCCCCGAGCCCTAAGCAGCTACAGCACAGTACCATTTTGAGAGCCAGCCACCAGATTGCATTCTGCCCTGGGGCCCAATAGCCCCTGCATCTCCACATCCCTGTAGCCCCATTGACATTTCTCATCTGCATCTGCCACTGTGGTTGGCTGCTGCTGCCAGTGCCACAAGGCAAGCCATTAGCAGTGACCTTGCTGTCCCCAGCAGCTCTGCACATTTTCATGCACCCTGAGAACATAATCTCTCGCCTGCAGCTGCCACTACTCCTGGCTGCCACGACTGGGGCTAAAGTACGAGCCACTGTCAGAGACCCTGCTGCCACCAGCGGTGGAACTGCCATGCATTCACAGCTGCCCTGATCAGAGGCTACTCTGCCCATAGCCATGACCTGTGGCCAAGTGTGTGTTCCCCAGGCACCTGCCACTGAAAGCAACCCCACCCTCCCCAGCAGCAGGACCACAGTGCAGCTGCTACTGCATCCACCTAAGCATTTTGCTGAGGGCCTGGGGATCACCCTACCCCTGCAACCACAGCCAGTGGCTGCATGTACCATAAGAGAGCTTGGGGACAGGCCCATGTGGCCCAGATCCTTCTTCCCCCTACAGTGCCTGAGCATGCCATTTGAGGACCTCAGGACCATCGAACTCCTTCCATCACCATTGCCACGTGAGCACTCCTTTTGAGGCCCTGAGGTCAGGCCCACCCAACATGCTGCTACTACTATGGCTGACACCCCCCCAAATGCACCACCTGAGGGACTGAAGACAGGCCCTCCCAGCCTGTCGCAGCCATCACCAACACCAGTATGGTCCATTTGGCAGCCAGAGGGTTGTCCCACCACTGCTACTGCCATCACCCATGCTATGCCTGCTGCCTGGGAGCCCAAGGACCTGCCCATCTGCCTGGTCCACTACTGCCACTACCAGCACATGAACAAGCCACCTGGAGGCCCAAGAATCAGCCCTTCTGGACCTGCTAACACTGGTGCTAGTGTATGCCACCCTGGGGCTCAAGGATAGGCATGCTTGGTCTGCCACTGCCAACAGTGGGGTCTAAGGATTGGCCTACCTCCTGTCCCATCCCCAGTAAAAATGTACCACAGACTCCACTAACAATTGCACCCTAAGGAAATCACAGACATCACTGGTGCTGTTTACAGCCAAAGAAATCACACGGAGATTACACTATTACACATTTTTAGAATCAAAGTCAAAGAGCCCTACACAACCAACACCATAGATATAGCCTCAGGAAATGTCCTCTCCTATGAAAGCAAATTCAAAGGATTGGAAGAAGCAACTGGTACATCAGACATGCAGCTATCAATGTAAGGACATAAGAACTATGAAAAAGCAAGGAAATATGACATGTTCAAAGGAACACAATATTCTTCAGCAACAGACTCCAGTGAAAAAGAAACTTACGAAATATTGGGAAAATAATTCAAAATAATGATATTAAAGAAGCTCATTAAGGTACAGGAGAACGTGAATAAACAATAGGAGAAATTAGAAAAACAATTCAGGATATGATTGAGAAATTTACCAAAGATATAGATATCATAAAAAAGAACCAAACAAATTCTGAAACTGAAAAATCCATGGAATAAAATAAAAAATCAATTCAAAATTTTCAATAGGCTAGATCAAGCAGAAGAAAGAATTTCAGGACTTGACATTTTTGAAATAACATAGTCAGGGCTGGGCACGGTGGTTCACTCCTGTAATCCCAGCACTTTGGGAGGCTGAGGTGGGCAGATCACGAGGTTGGGAGATCGAGACCATCCTGGCTAAAATGGTGAAACTCCGTCTCTACTAAAAATACAAAAAATTAGCCGGGCATGGTGGCGGGGGCCTATAGTCCCAGCTACTGGGGAGGCTGAGGCAGGAGAATGGTGTGAACCCAGGGGGTGGAGCTTGCAGTGAGCTGAGATCGTGCCACTGCACTCCAGCCTGGGTGACAGAGCGAGACTCCATCTCAAAAAACAAAAACAAAAACAAACAACAAAAAACAGACAAAACTAAAGAAAAAAGAATAAAGAAGAATGAACAAAGCCTTTGTGACATATGGGACACCAAAATCAGACAAGGACACAACTAAAAGAGAAAATGACAGACCAATATCCCTGATGAACATAGAAGAAAAATCCTCAGCAAATACCAGCAAACACAATCCAGCAACACATCAAAAAGATAATACATCATGATCAAGTGGGATTTATCCTAGGGATGCAAGGATGGTTCAACACAAGCCAATCAATAAACATAATACATCACATCAACAGAATGATGGGCAAAAACCAAACAATCATCTCAATAAATTCAGAAAAAGCATTTGATAAATTCAGCATCCTTTCATGACAAAAACTCTCAACAAACTAGGCATAGAGGGAACATACCTCAACATAATAAGGGTCATATATGACTAACTCACAATTAACATCCTACTGAATGGAAAAAGCTGAAAGCCTTTCCTCAAAGAACTGGAACAAGACAAGGATGCCAAGTTTCATTATTTCCATTCAACACAGTACTGGAAGTCCTAGCTAGAGAAATTAGGCAAAAGAAAGAAATATAAGGAATCCAATTGAAAAAGAGAAAGTCAAATGACCCCTCTCTGCAAAAGCTTCTGCACAGCAAAGGAAACAACAAACAGAGGGAAGAGACAGCCTGTTGAATGGAAGAAATATTTGCAAACCATTCATCCAATAAGGGACTAATATCCAAAATATACAAGAAACTCAACAATAAAAATACATAAAAAAACTACTAAAAAGTGGGCAAAGGCCATGAATAAACATTTCTCTAAAGAAGACCTACAAACGACAAACAGGTATATAAAAAAATTCTAAACATCACTAATCATCAGGGAAATGCAAACTAAAATAACGAGATATCATCTTACTCCAGTTAGAATGGCTATTACTAAAAAACCTGCGTTCAAACTATACTACAGTATAGTTTGGCTACAGTAACCAAAACAGCATGGTACTGGTACCAAAACAGATATATAGACCAATGGAACAGAACAGAGGCCTCAGAAATAACACCACACATCCACAACCATCTGATCTCTGACAAACCTGACAAAAGCAATGGGGAAAGGATTCCCTATTTAATAAATGGTGTTGGGAAAACTGGCTAGCCATATGTAGAAAACTGAAACTGGACCCCTTCCTTACACCTTATACAAAAGTTAACTCAAGATATATTAAAGACTTAAACATAAGACCTAAAACCATAAAAACCCTGGAAGAAAACCTATGCAATACCATTCAGGACATAGGCATGAGCAAAGACTTCATGACTAAAACACAAAAAGAAATGGCAACAAAAGCCAAAATTGACAAATGGGATCTAGTTAAACTAAAGAGCTTCTGCACAGCAAAAGAAACTATCATTAGAGTGAACAGGCAACCTACAGAATGGGAGAACATTTTTGCAATCCATGCATCTGACAAAGGGCTAATATCCAGAATCTACAAGGAACTTAAACAAATTTACAAGAAAAAAACAACCTAATCAAAAAGCAGGTGAAGGATATGAACACACACTTCTCAAAAGAAGACATTTATGTGGCCAACATGTGAAAAAAAGCTCATCATCCCTGGTCATTAGAGAAATGCGAATCCAAACCACAATGAGATACCATCTCACATCAGTTACAATGGTGATCATTAAAAAGTCAGGAAACAATAGATGCTGGAGAGGATGTGGAGAAATAGGAATGCTTTTATACTGTTGGTGGGAGTGTAAGTTAGTTCAACCATTGTGAAAGACAGTGTGGTGATTCCTCAAGGATCTAGAACCAGAAATACCATTTGACCCAGCAATCCCATTACTGGGTTTATACCCAAAGGATTATAAATCATTCTACTATAAAAGACACATGCACACGTATGTTATTGCGGCACTGTTCACAATAGCAAAGACTTGGAACCAACCCAAATGGCCATCAATGATAGACTCAATAAAGAAAATGTGGCCCATATACGCCATGGAATACTATGCAGCCATAAAAAGGATGAGTTCATGTCCTTTGCAGGGACATAGATGAAGCTGGAAACCATCATTCACAGCAAACTAACACAAGAACAGAAAACTAAACACTGCATGTTCTCACTCATAAGTGGGAGCTGAACAATGAGAACACATGGACACAGGGAGTAGAACATCACACACCAGGGCCTGTTGGGGGCTGGGGGGCTAGAGATAGCATCAGGAGAAATACCTAATGGAGATGATGGGTTAATGGGTGCAGCAAACCACCATGGCACATGTGTACCTATGTAACAAACCTGCACGTTCTGCACATGTATCCCAGAACTTAAAGTATAATTAAAAAAAAAAACAAAAAACAAACAAAAAAAACAAAACAGATGCTGATGAGAATGCAGAGAAAAGTGAACTCTTAAACACTGTTGGTGCAAATATAAATTAGTACAGCTACTATGGAAAACAGTATAGAGATTTCTAAAAAAAACTAAAAATAGAACTACCGTACAATTCAGCAAGCTCACTACTTGGTATCTATCCAAAGGAAAGAAAGTCATTATATCAAAGGGATACCTGCACCCCATGTTTATTGCAGCATTATTCACAATAGCCAAGATATAGAATCAATCTATTAATAAGAAAATGTGGTATATATACACAATGGAATACCATTTAGCCATAAAAAAAGAGTAAAATCCTGTAATTTGCAACAACATGGATAGGACTGGAGGTCATCATGTTAAGTAAAATAAGCCAGGCACAGACATACAAATACCATATGCTATTCCTTGTATGTGGGAACTAAAGGTAGAGAGTAGAATGATAGATGTCAGAGGGTGGAAAGGAAGTATATGTGGATGGGCGGGGGTTGGTTATGACCTATAGAAATAAGTTTTAATGTTCGATAGCAGAATAAGGTGATGATAGTTAACAAAAATGTATTGTATATTTCAAAATAGCTAGAAGAGAGGACTGGAAATGTTCCCAACACACAGTCATAAATATTTGAGGTGATGGATATCCTAAATACTCTGACTTTATCATTACACATTCTACATATGTAACAAAATATCACACGTACCTCACAAACGTGTAGAAATGCTATGTATTATTATTATTTTTTTTTTATTTTTGAGACGGAGTCTTGCTTTGTCACCCAGGCTGGAGTACAGTGGCTCGATCTCAGCTCACTGCAACTTCTGCCTCCCGGGTTCTCAGGCAATTCTCCTGCCTCAGCCTCCCAAGTAGCTGGGACTACAGGTGCGTGCCACCACACCCAGCTAATTTTTTGTACTCTTAGTAGAGACAGGGTTTCACTGTATTAGCCAGGGTGGTCTCAATCTCCTGACCTCATGATCTGCCCACCTCGGCCTCCCAAAGTGCTGGGATTACAGGCATGAGCCACTGCGCCTGGTTTATTATTATTATTAATTAATAATAATAATTAATAATATTATTATTTATTATTATTATTAATTAATAATAATTAATAATATTATTATTTATTATTATTATTATTTTAAACAAAGGCCTCAGAACCAGGGGGCCAAAGGTGTAAATCTCAGTCCAATGAGAACACTGATGACCCAGCTCAAGCAAGTATGTAGGAATAAAAAGGGGTAAATTCCTCCTTCCTCCACCTTTTTTTTTTCTCCTTTTGAGGGCCTCAAGACATTGAATGTTGCCCACCTTCATTGAGAAGGGCAATCTACTTTAGTGAGTCCACTGTTTCAAATGCTAATTTCATTTGGAACAACCTCACAGACACACTTGGAAATGCCGTTTAATTTGGAAACTCCATGGAGCAGTCCAGTTGACATGGTTACCATGCCAGTCCTCTTAACCTTTTTCAGAGAATCAGCTTTCTTGGTAATCTGGACCCCTGGAAAAGTGTGTATATGTACCACATTTTTGTTGTACCCAGGGGATCCCTGAACTCATCTGTGAGCTGGTTAAAGCCTTGGACCCGCCCTCTTAGCAAACTGTCCACATCTTGTCCCCTGCACTCTGCACCACGACAATCAGGTGTCTTTCCTTGTGCACCTCTCCGCCTTATGGCGACATGAGGCACTTGCCACCTCTAAGGGTAAATCACTTGCTTTATTTAGTTCCTTCTCACAAATCAGATGGTGGACAATATAGAGCTAACATAAATAAAATAATGAAATGAACACAACCCTAGACCCCAGAAAGATTATGAACAAACCTTACTGAGTGGGGAAAAAATCTGACACCACTAAAACTTTCTCCAGCCCTACCAGCATTACTATGAAGTGTCTGATTGGTTTCAGGCTTTCACCAAAGTTGATACACACTATATTTTTTTTACCTGTAACTCAAGGGGACAAGTTTGGGATGTGGTCCTTTCATATTCATCCTATGCATACAGTGGTTCCAGGTTGGGTTCCCAGGAAAACAGATGCTGAGACGGAGGTTAGTGTGCAGGCTGTTTATTAGGGAGTCACACTTTGGAAATTAACACCTGTGGAAACAAGGGGTAGAACAAGTGTGGGCACAGGGAGATGTTAAGCTGTGAGGCAGGCCTGAGGACAGCCTCTGCCAATCCTCCAGCTTGCAGTAGAGCTAAGATGGCCCTTCAGAGTTGGCCTGCATTGGGAGGAATTGGCTGTGTCCTTATACTTCCTATCTCCGTCAATCACTGGGTGTTGGCGTCCCAGGAAATACTTGACTTTTGACCAGGTGGCCCCCTGCAGCTGGAGCAATCCCTGAAGCAATCTACAGCAAAAGACTATCTGCTGACATCATTCTTCCAGCAGCGGGGCCACAATCCCTTTTAGAAGGGTGCTTCTCCATGTCCATCACACAAGCTGATCCACTTTAAGTAAGCTTCAATTCACACTAGTTTGGTTGGTTTTAAATGGAGTCTGTTTCAGAAAAGCAGGATTTCTACTCTCAGAACTAATTCATTCAAATAATATTCATAAAATGCCTATGATGTGCCAGTTACTGTTTTAGGTGATGATGATATGGTGCTGAAAAGACTCTACCCTCAGTCTAGTGGAGGACTTAGAAAATAAAAAGATAAGGCAATAAATAACATAATTTCAGATAATGACAAGTGCCTTGAAGAAATTAAAGCAGGGTGAGAAAATAAAAAATGACTGGGTAGGGGTGAAGGAGGTGCTAGCTTAGGTTAGTGGTCAGGGAAGGTGACATTTGAGTAGAGACTTGATTGAAAGGTAAGGCAAGTCCTGTGAAACTCTGGGGCTAAGAGTGTTTCATGCAGAGAAAAGGAAATGTAAAGACCTCGAGCACAACTGAGCTTTGCACATTTAGGGGGCAGCAAGGCCAGCTAGGGGGAGTGATAGAGAAGGGGTAGGGTCAGAGAATCAAGGCCTATGGGGCCAGGGGGCCTGAAAAGGAATGGAGATTCATTTTAAATATAATTGAAAATCCCTGGAGAGCTTTCAACAGCATAGAGACAAAACCTACTTTACATTTTAAAACTGTCTGTGGAGAATGGGCAAGAGGATGTGTGGAAATAAAGATAATGGATTCAACATTTTTTATTGTAGTAAAATATGCGTAACATTGAATTTACTATTTTAAAGTTTTTTGAGTGTACAATTCAGTACATTCACACTTGTGCAACTGAAACCGACCCAATAGTCCCACAGAGGGTTCTTTTGGATAAACGTAGAAATTGACCCCTCTGGTCTTACAGCTTGAAACTCACAACTGTTTTTTTTTGTTTGTTTGTTTTGTTTTGTTTTGTTTTGTTTTTGAGACAGAGTCTCGCTCTATCACCCAGGATGGAGTACAGTGGCGCAATCTCGGCTCACTGCAAACTCTACCTCCTGGGTTCACGCATTCTCCTGCCTCAGCCTCCCGAGTGGCTGGGACTATAGGCGCCCGCCACAACGCGTCGCTAATTTTCTTTTTTGTATTTTTAGTAGAGGCGGGGTTTCACAGTGTTAGCCAGGATAGTCTAGATCTCCTGACCTCGTGATCCGCCCGCCTCAGCCTCCCAAAGTGCTGGGATTATAGGCGTGAGCCACCGCGCCTGGCCAACCCACAATTGTTTTATCTGAATTCTTTCCTCAGGAAATAACCCCCAGGCCTCTCAAAAAGTATCAAAGAACTGAAACTCACCAGATTACTGCATCCAGAGCCAGGCCTCTCATATTGTTTTCCTACTCTTCCCTAGTTCCGGTTCCCTCACACATTGTTACATTTCTTGCCTGCTATATAAACCCCTAATTTTAATCAGTCAGGGAGATGGATTTGAGACTGAGCTCCCATTTCCTTGGCTGCATCACCCGATTAAATCCCTCTTCCTTTGCAATACTCGTCATCTCAGTCATTGGCCTTCTGTGCAGTGAGCAGCAGGCACTAGACTGAAGCCTTGTTGTTTCAGGAACACAACCATCACCACTATCCATCTCCAGAAATTTTCCATCAGTCAAACAGAAGCTCTGTACCTATTAAACAATAGCTCTTCATTTCCCTCTCCCTCCAGCCCCTGGTAACCATTATTCTATTCTTTCTATATGAATTTGACTATTCTAGGTATCTAAGTGGAAGTACACAGTATTTGTCCTTCTCTGTCTGGCTTATTTCACTTAGTGTAATGTTTTCAAGGTTCATCCATGTTATAGCATGTATCAGAATTTTATTCATTTTTGAAATTGAATATTTTATTCCATGTTCATACCACATTTGTTCATCCAACCATCAGTGAAAGTTTAGGTTGCCACAGCTTCCACTAATCACTACACCCTACAAAATGAACTTCATTGTATATTATGTTCATTGTCAATGAAAATAGATAAAAATCCATACATTGTCTTCTTGCTTATTTTGAATTTTGGTGGTCTGTTTTCTTATAACATCAGCTTATCATAATTCATCTCAGGTTGATAAAGATTTTGCACTAGGAGGAGAAGCTCTACATAAAAGTCTTTTCGTTGTTGTCCAAGGAAAAACTTGCTATTTTTTTGTTAGTATTATCTTCAAAATGTACTTTACAGGAATGTTTTTAATTCACTTGCCTAGTTTGTGAGAATTAAATTAGTTAAAATTACAAATATAATTTCTACATCCACTTAATTATTGCACAACAATTCTACAAGCCCACTGCCCTTGATAGAATATTATTTTCCATGTTGGCAGGAATGAGGAGGTGTCCCAGTGACACAGAATGAGGTCTGGCACATAGGAGATGCTCAGTGAGTATTTGTTGACTGTAAAGTTTAATAACATGCAGGAGGGTACCATCTACTTGTGGTATCGTGGGGAACCTCAGCATATCTCGTGACAAATGATCATAGGACATGTGGTCAGAATGAGAATCCCAGTGTCAGTCAGTACATTAATGTGTTGGGGATAATTTCTTATTTTTTTAGATTAAAAGAAAATGTAAATGGAAATTTTAATACTTTCTTCCTATATTCCAATGGATCATCTTGTACTGTGTATCCTTCTTGAAAACTGGTGATTTTTGACTTCAGAGGAAAATTATACTTTACTGAATCGACTTTATTTTTCTCAATTTATTTTCAATTATCTGTTTCAGGGAAATGTTGACTTAGCTTAGGTCTCTATTGTGAGATGTAAATTGTGTGAAATCCTATTACATTTTGTTTATTAGTGATTCTATTTAATGAAGGCAGAACATCTTATTAAACATGACTAAATGATTATCTTTGATAACAGAATTGAACTTAGGCCATAAATGAGTCAATAAATTAATTGCTTGTCCCCACTGGTATTCAAAGAGATGCATCGGATCTCTACGTAAGCTAGAAATGCTTATGGGCCTGTCGGCCAGTAGCATACCAAAATACTGTGTCTAGGCTGTGAGACATGGTTTAATGACCACTTCCAGAGGGTAGCTGCTGGCATTTTCTCCAATGTTCTCTCAGCTGCTGCTGCTTTTATTCAGCTGTGACAGACAATAAAGAACCTTCCAGGACCTACTGCAGCCACGGCCCCAATTATGGCTCAGATGTCATCCGAGGTAAGAAAAGACAATGTGACCACAAGCTTCCATGAGATCAGTATGCATTTCAATACAAGTGCTCTACAGAGATCCTTCCTTCAAAGAAACAGCTAGAAAAGCTCCAAGTCCTTGATGCTACCGCTAATAAATATAAATTCTCTATATTTTTCCCTTTGTTAAATTATGTATATTTAATTTGAATAATCAAGACACTTAATTCTGAGAAAACAAGCGGCCTATTTGTGTCAACCCATTACTTCTAGCTTTATTTCTCTACACATAAAATACAAAGGGCTCCTGACTCTTGTGATTGCTACAGTGAATAGAAGGCTTGGTTTCTTGATGTGGAAGCTACCACACTAGCCTGCCACATGAAATTAGAGCAAGTTAGAGCACTTGTGCATTTCAGTTTACTTATTTGTTGAGCCTAATTATGCTAGATTACTTAGAGAACTGATTGGTCTTTGATCCAATTGAGAAAGGATCCCTCCAAAGCAAACTGTGGCAACATTTGTTTATATCCTGGCAATGTTTTTGAAAAGAGGCCCTTTTAAAGAGACAAGCAAATGTGAAATACAGCATACTTTGTTTTATTTATTGTTTTATTCACTTTCTTTTCTTTTTTGTCTATTTTGTAGAAACAGAGTGTCACTATGTTGCCCAGGCTGGTCTCAAACTCCTGGGCCCAAGCGATCCTCCTGCCTTGGCCTCCCAAAGTGTTCTGATTACAGGTGTGAGCCGCTGCATCCAGCCCCTGTTTTATTCACTTTATTGTGCTTTGCAGATACTATGTATTTTACAAACTGAAGGTTGTGGCAACCCTGGATAGAGCAAGCCTATTGGCATCATTTCTCTCTCTCTTTTTTTTGAGACAGAGTCTCACTCTGTCATCCAGGCTAGAGTGTGGTGGTATGATCTTAGGTTCAAGTGATTCTCATGCCTCAACCTGCTGAGTAGCTGGGATTACAGGTGCATGCCACCATGCCTGGCTAAATTTTGTATTTTTAGTAGAGACAGGGTTTTGCCATGTTGGCCAGGCTGGCGTCGAACTCCTGGCCTCAAGTGATTCACCTGTCTTGGCCTCCCAAAGTGTTGGGATTACAGGTGTCAGCCACTGTGCCTGGCCTATTAGCAGCATTTTTCTAATAGTGTGTACTCACTTCACATCTCTGTGTCACATTTTGTTAATCTTCATAATATTTCAAACTTTTTTTTATTGTTATGGTGATCTGTGATCAGCAATCTTTGATGTTACTATTATAATTGTATTAGGGCATGGTGAACTGCAACCATATTAGACAATGAACTTAACTGATAAATATTATGTGTGTTCTGACTGTTACACCAACTGGTCATTCCTCCAGCTCTCTCTCTCCGTGGGCCTCCCTATTTCCTGAGACAACAATATTGAAATTAGGGCAGTTAACAACCTTACAATGGCCTCCACATGTTCAACTGAAAGGAAGAGTTGCACTTCTCTCACTTTAAGTCAAAAACTAGAAATTATTAAATTTAGCGAGAAAGATATGTCAAAAGCCAAGGCTGACTGAAAGCTAGGCCTCTTTTTTTTTTTTTTTTTTTTTGAGACGGAGTCTCACTCTGTCGGCTAGCTGGAGTGCAGTGGTGCCATCTCAGATCGCTGCCATCTTGGCTCGCTGCAAGCTCCACCTCCCAGGTTCACACCATTCTCCTGCCTCAGCCTCCCAAGTAGCTGGGACTACAGGCGCCCGCCACCACACCCGGCTAATTTTTTGTATTTTTAGTAGAGATGGGGTTTCATCTTGTTAGCCAGGATGGTCTCGATCTCCTGACCTCATGACCCGCCCGCCTCGGCCTCCCAAAGTGCTGGGATTACAGGCGTGAGCCACCACGCCCAGCCAAAGCTAGGCCTCTTGTGCCAAATAGCCAAGTTGTGAATGCAAAGGAAAAGTTCTTGAAGAAAATTAAAAATGCTATTCTAGTGTACACACAAATGATAAGAAAGAAAAAACAGCCTTATTGTTGCTATGGAGAAAGTTTCAGTGGTCTAGGTGGAAGATCAAACCAATCACAACATTCCTTTAAACAAAAGCCTAATCCAAAGCAAGGCACTAACTCTCTTCAATTCTATAAAGTCTGAGAGAAGTGAAGAATCTACAGAAGAAAATTTTATAGCTAGCAGAAGTTGGTTCATAAGGTTAAAGAAATGAAGCCATTTCCATAATATACAATGCAAAGTGAAGCATCAAATGCTGATGTAGGAGCTGCAGCAAGTTATCCAGAAGCTCTAGCTTAGATTATTAATGAAAGTGGCTACATTACATATGCACTACGGAATACACTGAAGCCACAAAAAGAACAAGACCACGTCCTTTGCAGGGACACAGATGGAGCTGGGAGGCCGTTATCCTTAGCAAACTAACACAGGGACAGAAAAGCAAATACCTCATCTCACTTATAAGTGGGAGCTGAATTATGAGAACACATGGACACATAGAGGGGAACAAAACACACTAGGGCCTATCAGAGGGTGGAGGGTGGGAGGAGGAAGAGAATCAGGAAAAATAACTAATGGTAATAGCCTTATACCTGGCTGATGAAATAATCTGTACAACAAATCTCCTTGACACAAGTTTACCTATGTATCAAACCTGTACTTGTACGTCTGAACTTAAATAAAAGTTGTAGCTACATTAACAAGAGATTTTTAATGTAGATGAAACAGCTTTCTGCTGGGAGAAGATGCCATCTAGTACTTTCATAGCTAGAGAGAAGTCAATGCCTAGTTTCAAAGCTTCAAACGACAGACCCACTCTCTCGTTAGGGGCTATTGCAGTTAGGGACTTTAAGTTGAAGCCATGCTCATTGATCATTCTGCAAATCCTAGGGCCCTTGAGAATTATGATAAATCTACTCTGCTTGTGTTCTATAAATGGAATAACAAATCCTGGATGACAGCACATCTGTTTACAGAACGGTTAACTGAATATTTTAAGCCCACTGTTGAGACCTAATGCTCAGAAAAAAACGATTTCCATTCACTGCTCACCCAAGAACATGTTCACCCAGGAACTCTGATGGAGATGTACAAGGAGATTAATGTTGTTTTATGCCAGCTAATATAACATCCATTCTGCAATCCATGGATCAAGAAGTAATTTCAATTTACAAGTCTTATTTAAGAAACAAATTTCATAAGGCTATAGCTGTAATAGATAGCAATTCCTCTTGTGGATCTGGGCAAAGTAAATTGAAAATCTGTAAAGGATTCGCTAGTCTAGATGACATTAGAATATTTGTGATTCATGGAAGGAGGTCAAATATTAATATTAACAGGAGTTTAGAATAAGTTGATTCCAACCTTCATGAATGACTTTGAGAGGTTCAAGACTTTAGCCAAGAAAGAAATTGCAGATATGGTGAAAATGACAAAAGAACTAGAATTAGAAGTGGAGCCTAAAGATCTGACTGAACTACTGCAATCTCATGATCAAACTTGAATGCATATGAAGTTGCTGGTTTTTTTTTTTTTTTTTTTTTTAGATGGAGTCTTGCTCTGTCGCCAGACTGGAGTGCAGTGGCGCCATCTCGGCTCACTGCAACCTCCATCTCCCGGGTTCAAATGATTCCCCTGCCTCAGCCTCCCGAGTAGCTGGGACTACAGGCACCTGCCACCACACCCGGCTAATTTTTTCTATTTTAGTAGAGACAGGGTTTCACCATGTTGGCCAGGATGGTCTCAATCTCTTGCCCTCGTGATTCACCTGCCTCGGCCTCCCAAAGTGCTGGGATTACAGGCGTGACCCACCACACTTGGCCCGAAGACTTATTATTATCCCATCAGCCTTTCTCTCATGGAATTTGGCCTCAAAAATTAAGTAAACATTTAAGTCAAAAGGAGAGTGAGAATATTGCCTTCTAGCCTTTCATATAAGATTTGCTGGTATTTAATGAGGCCTGATTCTGCCTGGCACTGTGCCAATGCCCTTATTTACTGGTGAGAAAACTGAAGTTCAGAGATGTAAAGTTATATGGTCTAGCTCACATAGCTTCTGTGTGGTGAAGCTGGGGTTCCAACTCAGGTCTAATTCCATTAGAGTCTTGCGTCTTTCCTGCCTACTCATATGTACCAAGACTCAGCTAGTACAGGAGTTGGGCAAGGTACTGAGACTACAAGGGGGAATGGGTGGTGAGTCTACTTTCTGGGTATAGTCAAATTCATTTTCATACCTGATCATTCATTCATCCAGTATGTATTAAGCAACTACTACGTGCAGACCCTTTTCTTTTCTTTTTTTTTTTTTTTTTTTTTGAGACGGAGTCTCGCTCTGTCACCCAGGCCGGACTGCGGACCTCAGTGGCGCAATCTCGGCTCACTGCAAGCTCCGCTTCCCGGGTTCACGCCATTCTCCTGCCTCAGCCTCCCGAGTAGCTGGGACTACAGGCGCCCACCACCGCGCCCAGCTAATTTTCTGTATTTTTAGTAGAGACGGGGTTTCACCTTGTTAGCTGGGATGGTCTCGATCTCCTGACCTCATGATCCACCCGCCTCGGCCTCCCCGTGCAGACCCTTTTCTAGGTGCTGGAGAGACAACTAGGAACTATATAGAAATGGTCCTTTAAGAAACCTAGGGGTTGCTAGGAAAAGCAGACAAGTGAATGAGCAATAACATGACGTGTCATACATGCTACTCTTAAGGTATTAAAAAAATCCTACTGGAGCACAGAAGAGGGGAGGATAATGCTTATGAGTGGGGAATGTTTATGTCATATCTGAAGTGGTTGATAAATGAAGGTAGAATGTTTAAATTCTAAAGACTTACCTCTCAGACATTTTACTATTTTTTCTCTAAAATTTATCTGTTTCTTTCTTTCACACACACACACACACACACACACACACACACACACACACACACATCTATGATATATCCTAATATAGCCGGAGACCATGGGAACTGAAGTTTCATCATCAGCTGAGTTAGTGTGTGAATGGGTAGCAAGAGCTCTAGCATCACCAACAGCAGATGACCAGGTCATCTATGCTAAGTAAGAAGGTCTCCTCTTCCATGGCCTTCTCTTCATCAAGAAAAGACTCTAGCCAACCAAACTGTGCTTAGGTTCAGACAACAAAGCTCCTACAGCCCCAAGGAAAAAAGAAAATGGAAACTTCATAGCATCCTGCTATAAAGTTTCTGATCATTTCTTCTTGGATTTCTTTCACGGATTCAGCTTCCCCTCCCCTTTATAGTTACTTATTTTTCTTTGGTGTCAGTCTTGGATGGCACACTCAGCATGTGGGTCCTCTTTAGATGTGCACTCATTTTTAAGAAATCATATTTCAGAAACCAGTGGAAGCTTTATCATTATCCAGGCAGCTCATTCCCATACACTGAATTACATTTTAAGCAAATTGAAGGAAATTTCTTCTCTCAGACACATAATTCTCAAGTTTGGCCTTTGACAAAGTAAGATTATAATGTGATTTCTCCAATAAAAGGGAAACATTGTTTTCATTTTTGGCAATAGCGGAAAAAATGATATTGAATGTTACAATTGAATGTATAATTTTTCTTCCCAATGGATGTATTCTACAAATGAGCTAAATATTTTAAATGTCTCATAAGATTGATAAATGATGGCTAAGTTTATTTTGTGAATAATTTTATCGTCTACCTTATGTTTTAGGAAAAAAATAAACATCTCTCTGGCATAACACTGTGGTATAAACACTATTTGTTTTTCAGAAACTAGATGAAATTTCATGTTTCTGCTTTTCTCATTATTCTTTCATAAAGTTTATATATTTTGAGGATAACTATATTTTGAAGAAAGGTTAAAAATTATTCATCCACTTACCTAAGAAATTACCTACTGGTGAGGATGAGTGCAAATATCTTTAAAAGTAAATAAAGTTGGCAATGTACTAAGCCATCCTGCAGTTTCAGATTCAGTTGTTCTTCTAAAGAGAATGTGATTCTGGCTATGCTGAGAGAGCCTGCAGCAAGTACTTGAAATCCAACTTTGACAGGTTAGCTCTGACATCTCTGGGCTTTGTGGCTCTCCACTATATAATACCACACCTTGTTAAAATGTCAATATAATTTACAATGAACTTACAGAGACAACCAGTAGTAGCCTCAAGGCACATATAATTAAGCATTGCTGCAATAGAAAAAAATTATTTCTCTAAAGCCAAATATCTGCAACAAAACTATCACGCCCATTGGGCAGATGCCTAAGCAAGCTATGTCATGGTTCACCCAAAGCCATATCCTTGTGCTGTAGAAAGTGATGGTCTGGGTTTTATCTCCTATTGGATTAATCATTTGGCCATTTTCCTTTCCTAGACAGAAGCTTTTTATTTATTCCAAGATAGCGCCTATTTTGTAAAAAGGAAAATAACCCACGTTAAACATGTAATAGTCTAACCCATGTTAAACATGTAATAGTCTATTTCTCTACTTACCTCAATATTTCTAACTATAAAGTAGGCGCAGGGTACTCACTTTAAAATCATGGGATACATGGGAGGAAGAGGGAAGGACTCATGCTGGAAACAGCAGAAGGAAAAGAATTCCCTATTGGTTTTTAATATGTGCCTGTCCCAGGTGCTTAATGAAACCTTGTAAATCTTCATCTTCCAAACGACTGGATTCAGTTTTTGGCAAAATAATACATTTTGGGCATCTTAACAGGGACTGCAGGGACATAGGGAGATGAGAAATATATCTCTGGATTTACTCCGCTAAACTTAAAAGTTTTGTTTCTTTTGGAGAAAATCAACCCTCTTGATCATTTTACCTAGACCAGAGTTTCCCTAGGTAAGGTAAAAGTTTCCCTACTTGGCAGTTGAAAAGTACAATTACCACTTACACTATTTTTAAGCTACACAGATGTTAAAATTATCTCTACTCAAAAACTTTGGTGAATTGTTTTCAGATCTTTGAAGCAAAGCTATTGTGTGATTAATGACCTCATTTCTGACCAGTTTTGAATGGTGGAGTCCATGGTCTGTCAGGATGAGAGAAACCAAGATGCTGGTGACACTTCTTTCTCTAGTGCCAGTCTCCATCCTTTAGCTGAGAAAAAGATGATTGCACGGGCATTCAGGGGGTTAGCTAAGATGTTTTGCTGACACAAAAATGGTGTCTGCTTTTGCAAAGGCCTGGGTTACAAGTTATATTGTTTTTCTTTAAAAAATTAGCCCTGGAGCCTGCGGCTAACACATGCCCCTTTTCACTTGAGTTGGCAGGGAATTTTTAAAAGTTTTCTGGTGTGGCCAAGATCTGAGAATTACTTATTTATATTTACCATTTGTATATAATTATATTTAGTGTAGATTTGGCTACAGGATTCCTGTGTACCCATTAGAAAATGGCACTATTCTGACCAACTCTAGATATTTTACCATGAGTATGTTTTATTCCATCAAGTCATTTATGTCTTCAAATTGTAATTTTCCTCTCTTAAAAGAAAGATGTTTTAATTTTATCTTCAAAATCAAAACTTTGTCTGCTCCCTGAATTTTGTTCTTTACAAGTTGGATAGCATCAAAAACCAGCAGTTTTTCTACTTTTTTTCTTCCACTTAAATGATTTACATGTTACAGAAAATATAGGATGGAGGTTTGTCTTCTGCCCTACTCTCCCAACTCCCTGTGATAAAGGCACCGACACAAACAGAAATAAAACCTACTTGAACATTAAGAGTCTTAGTTTAATAGACTTCTCTGGGAATCATAAGAGAATTTCCTTCTAAAATAATGCTGTTTATTTAACAGTGGGACTAATGGTAAACTGAAATTCATTACATATTCATGAAACTGACTTATAGCAAAAGCAAATCTTAAAGGGAAAATCTTGGAACTGAGACTCCCAATATTATAGCTGGCATATAATTTTTTAAACAACTGATTAAGTTCAAAAATTTTATTTTGACCTCTGAATTTGTTATACACTCACTTTGCCTACTCTTAGAAAGTGAAAATTTCCAGATTGTTGAAGATTCTCTACTATAATAATCTAATATCCATAATCTACGGATGTGACAGAAGGATGGAAAAATTGCTATGAATGTGATTCCCTCTGGAGGCAAAAGGCGGAAATGTCTTTAGGAAACAAATCATAAATTTCCTTAGCTGGAGAAAGCGTGAAATATAAAATCTAAACATGAAAAATTTCCACATAGTTGATGTAAAGTTAACTTGATGGGGAAGAGACAGCTGCAAACTAGAAACCAGGGAGGGGGAAAAAAAAGCTAATCTGAGACAGGATAATAAATGAGGAAACTGACAGTTTCATCAAAGGTCAAAGGAAATAGGTAGAAGTGTCAAAGTGTGGTCTGGGATGCTCACATCTAATAGAGGGCCTGGCTGCTCTTGTCATTCCCCTGGGGCTGTAGTGATTGAATGGAGGCTGCTTCCAGTGGCAAGCTAATTCCTCACCAGGGCAAGTAGAAGGATGGTGCAGAAAGACAGAGACTGTCAGGGACTGTTTCAGTATTAGGGAGCTACTGCCATGTAATTGTTTACATTCCAGATCCAGCCTCCAGACTAAAAGTTGACCAAATTATTTATGGAAACATATCAGCGTTCAGTTTCCTAAAGGACCTAACATGTTGGTTTTGCTAAACAACTTATGACCAAAATAATAGAGGGGAGGAAAGGAGAGCAGTCCAAAGCACAGTGCCTCATGAGCTTCATTCAGTAAACAGAGCAATTAACCCCAAATTAAGACTCTATTTTTTGCAAATAAATTTTTATTTTGTTCTTATTAAGCCTCTGTTCATATTTCCACCTTTTAAAAAAAAAAAAAAAAAACTACAGGGTGAGCTGGCAGGAATGATGGGCAGGGGATCCAGAACAAGGAGGAGTCACCAATAGATAGGACCTTCTATCTCTCTCCCCATATCTCTCAAAGATTTACTGTGATCCAATTACTATGTGTCACCAGCAGTCTGTCATTTGATTCTTACAACATACTAGGAAGTAAAACTGGGACTCAGAGAGCTTAAGAAACTTGGAACTTGCTGAAGGTTACACCGCTGTTCAGTCATGGAGTGTGCGAGGGAACTTGAATGGTGGAAACACCAACTTTCCAGAGGTCTCCTTCCCAGGAAGTTGACAGCAGGGGCTCGTGGCCTCTCTGCTGGGACATAGGCAGGGGTCACTGCAGGTGTATCCACATCACTGTCACATGTAACTTGTCTGTTATCAGTAGAAAGGCAATCTTTCCAGCCCTCTTCTAGACCGAAAGGTAAGTAGGGCTGTCCCTTTTTTGCTGTCATCTCACATCCTAGAAAGTGTTATCTAATCACCAGTGCCTACTCTTTGTAGTGATGAAAAAGACACAAGTATAGAAAGTCATTTTATAGGTTATGCTTATTTCCTGTAAAAGGGTTTAATTGCATTCTCCTTTTGCCTCGCAGATGCTAAATAAGGGGTCTTTAACTCTTAGAATAAGTTTGTGATCCTTAGAACACATCCTTTTCTTGTTGCCTCTTAGTTACAGATTATAAGCAGAAATAAGTGAGCACCTTTTTTTTTATAGCTGGAGAGAAGGAAGCAGCGAAATGAAACAAGGACAAACATGTATTCTTTTCAGAAACCCCAGATATTTCCAACTTTCAAGTATGTTCAGGTCATGTGTATTCAGTTTGATACCACAATTGCTAACTATGAAAAGGAATTTTGAAGCTAATATTTTACAAATAAAGGAGAAGGCAAATGATTTTTTTCCCACAAGTTAAAAATTACACAGTATGCTAAGGCTGTATTATAGAATTATATTGAACATGGGAGGCAGAAGCAAATTGATAGATACATTTATAGATGAAAGGGGGTAGAAATAATTTGAGTTTAACTAGATAAAGTAAACTATCTTATCCTCAAATGACTAAGTGTTTAGTCATTTTGCATATTAATGTAGTGATGGATTTTAAGATATGAAACTATAAGATGTTATGAAAATTTTAAAATAAAATTAAAGAGCTTTCATATAAATACATCCTAATATAGATTAGCTTTTTTTTTTTTTTTTTTTTTGAGACAGAGTCTCACTCTGTCGCCCAGGCTGGAGTGCAGTGGCACAATCTCGGCTCACTGCAAGCTCCGTCTCCTGGGTTCACGCCATTCTCCTGCCTCAGCCTCCTAAGTAGCTGGGACTACAGGTGCCCGCCACCACACCTGGCTAATTTTTTGTATTTTTAGTAGAGATGGGGTTTCACCGTGTTAGCCAGAATGGTCTTGATCTCCTGACCTTGTGATCTGCCCGCCTCGGCCTCCCAAGGGAGGGATTACAGGTGTGAGCCACTGCGCCTGGCCTAGATTAGCTTTTAAAAAATTATTTATTTTCATCTAAAGTTATATGTGCTTTCAAAATAATCTTGAGTAACTTCAAAGTATTTTAATTGAATAAATGCCTATTCAAGCATACTTGGTGGAATTAAAACAGTAAAAACATTCACGCCGTTGGCCAAGATTATTTACTTCTTAATGCTGATTTTTGACAACTGACTTTGTAAAACATACTTTATTTCCTATGCCAAGAGAGAGGAACCATAAAAGGAACTAAATTTTGCATAAAACTGTTTATTATTATTTTAAAAAGTTAGGGAAAGGAAGAAAAACTAATAGATTAACATGGACATCTAATCTGCCTTGTGAAAAGAGAAATTTTCCTAAATTTGCTCCATCTTTCCAAGTGAAGTTATACTTTTACATTTTTTTTTTTTTTTTTTTTTTTTTTTGAGATGGAGTCTTGCTCTTTCGGCCAGTCCGGACTGCAGTGGTGCTACCTCGGGCTCACTGCAAGCTCCGCCTTCCGGGTTCACACCATTCTCCTGCCTCAGCCTCCTGAGTAGCTGGGATTACAGGCACCTGCCACCGCACCAGGCTAATTTTTTGTATTTTTAGTAGAGATGGGGTTTCACCGTGTTAGCCAAGATGGTCTCGATCTCCTGACCTCGTGATCTGCCCACCTCGGCCTCCCAAAGTGCTGGGATTACAGGCGTGAGCCACCACGCCCGGCCTACATATTAATATTCTTAAGTGCAAAGTTTTAAGTAAGTTGGAAATGAACATGGTATGAGTTGATGGCAATGTTTTAAATAGAAATCCTCAACCTAGGGCCGGGTGCAGTGGCTCACCCCTGTAATCCCAGCACTTTGGGAGGCCCAGGCGGGTGCATCACCTGAGGTTAGGAGTTCAAGACCAGCCAGGCCAACATGGTGAAACTCCATCTCTACTAAAAATGAAAAAAAAAAAAAATCTGCCAGGTGTGGTGGTGCGCACTTGTATTCCCAGCTACTTGGGAGGCTGAGAATTGCTTGAACCCAGGAGAGGGAGGTTGCAGTGATCCAAGATTGCTCCACTGCACTCCACCCTGGGCGACAGAGTAAGATCCCATCTCAAAACAAAACACAAAAGAAATGCTCAACCCAGAACTTCTAACTTGTCCAATATATACCAGCCAAAAAGCAAAGCTAAGCTGTGTTATGTGCAGAAACGTATATTTACGTGAGGAGGTATAGTTAATGTGATTCTTCTTTTTCTTTTTTTTTTTTTTTTTGAGATGGAGTCTCGCTCTGTCTCTCAGGATAGGGTGCAGTGGGTGATCTCGGCTCACTGCAATCTCCACCTCCCAGGTTCAAGCGATTCTCCTCCTTCAGCCTCCTGAGTAGCTGGGATTACAGATGCATGCCACTATGCCTGGCAAATTTTTTGTATTTTTAGTAGAGACAGGGTTTCACCATGTTGGTCAGGCTGGTCTTGAACTCCTGACCGCCCACCTCGGCCTCCCAAAGTGCTGGGATTACAGGCATGAGCCATGCCATCGCGCCAGGCCAATGTGATTCTTAATGAGCCAAGGAGGTGTGGTATATGGCATAAGGACTTCCTGCCAGTCCTTTTCTGTGCCCTCCAGTTTATTTATGGACTTGTACCCAAAAGAACGCCCATGCTTACTTGCAAATGAACTTTGTCTATATGAATAACAGAAGGAACACCTTCCAAGGCGACATTTCATATGTCTCAGTGGGAGGACAGTGGCATTTCTTTTGGGTACCACTGGGACATAGCAACTGGTTCCCTTCAGTTTATCTAGTGAGAGAACCAGGATGCGCTATGGAGTTTATTCCAAAAAAGAGGAATTTCTTCTTCCTCAGTAAGCCACAAAGGACCCCAAAGGTATCTCTTCCCAATTTTGACAATTTCCTCACTAATCCAGGCTCAGATTAAAGAATTTAGCAAGATGTAGAACAGTGATTCTCAATAAAGAATAATTTTGTTCCACAAAGGCCATTTGACAATATGGAGACCATGTTGTCACAGCTGAGGAAGGGGTGCTACTGGTGTCTAGTGGATAGAGGCAAGAGATGCTGCCAACCCTCTTACAATGCACAGGGCAGTGCCCCACAACAAAGAATTATCAGACCCACAATATCAATAGTGTGGAGGCTGAGAAACCTTGATGCAGACCAAATGGAGGAAGAAATAAAAAGGCAACAGAATACCATATTACCTCAAATAACTCAGGGACCATCAATTTAAAGTAAATTCCAATAGTCCACAGATACACCGTGGGCACCTCCCAGGCATATTGGGGGACCCCCGGAAGGTTGCTGTGATAATTCCTTTTAATGGCCTTATATTTCTTAGGAAAACGTCCCAGCTAGGATGCAGTTTTAAAAACTCATTAGTATCATCATTGTAAATGTCTTCAGTACCACACCACAGAGGAATCATGGTGTGAGCGTGTTTTAAAAAGCAGTCGCTGCTTTGTTTTATGAGAAACCACAACAACAAAATAATGTTTCATTTTTCTACCACATTTTTACAACAATTTTCTCTACTCTGAGGCTGAATATCTTCTCTAAAATATTCAAAGCACAGAGTGTGATTTATAACTATAAAATATCTCTGCTGACTTTAAAGTTCAGCTTTTGTAGTTGCTTTGTTTTAAATTTTTTTTTATTTTTGCATTTCACACCAAATTAGACTTGAGTTGCCCACTGATTATCTTTTAGCTAACATAGCCTTGGTTTCATCATGCAAATAGAAAAAAATAAAGTATTAATGATTTTTTATACCCATATGGACATATGTCCAAATGATTTTTTGAGCTTTAATTTCTAAATGGTAAACATAGCATATAAACACATTTATTATTAAAAAGTCAAAAGCACACATACCTATGAGGCAGAGTATGGGTTTATACTTTTTCATTTTTAATTTTTAAAATAATTTTTGCATGGGAAACACACATGGTTCAAAATTAAGGGCTTACAGATAAAATGAAGTCTCTTCTCCATTCCCAGCAATTCAGTACCCCCCTCTGGAGGCAAATCCTCTCACCAGTTTGTGTATTTGTGGTATTTATTCTTCCCATTATACTCCATGCAGTTACTGACATACACATGTTAATAATGCTAAACTACCATTGTTTATGTCCAAAATGCCAAGGACTTTATATATATTATTTCATTTATTCCTCACATCAGATTTGGGGATTAGAAAATATCCGAGTTAAATATTTAAGAAAGATACAAATTATTTAAGAATTATATGCAATTATAAAACATGAAATATATGAAATTTTATAGGCCAAAAGTAGTCAAATATTAGCAAGTCATATGGTGAGACCTTATATTAGGTTAGTGGGAGATTTTCACTTTCTGCAGCAAGATAGAATATATAGCTTGAGAACTTTTCTGCTATAAAACACCTCGAACTGCATAGCTGAGTTTGCAAGAAAGAAAGGGAAATTCCTGGGAGGCAAGCACAAATTGGGAAATGAAATTTGCCAGAAATCCTTGAAGAACGTTAAAATTGAATGTCCTTAACAGATCAAGAAATAAGGCCCTGGGCTCAAAGGGCCTGGACAAGAAGTAGAATGGAAACCTTCATAAAAAATAGGGGCCTTTGGATAACTATACCCTCAGTAAAGGGGAAGTCTAGAGTAAAAATCTGCCCTTCAGCACTGATAGGCAACAAAGAAATTTGTCCTTCTTGGCCTCAGCTCCATGGGTAGGGAGCAAAATGGGTTTCCTGAGAGTTCTTTACCCCAGGGGTAGTTTTTCCTAGAGTTTGAGATTCATACGTATGCTTCCCACATAGAAAAGGAAATTACAGCTACAAAAGTTGCATAAAAGGCCAGTCAGAATGGCTATTATTTATTTAAAAGTCAAAAAATAACAGATGCTGGTGAGGATACAGAGAAAAAGGACTGCTTATACACTATTGGTGGGAATGCAAATTAGCTCAGCCCCTGTGGTAAGCAGTTTGGAGATTTCTCAAAGAACTAGAAATAGAACTACCGTTCAACCCAGAAATCCCATTACTAGGTGTATAACCAAAGGAATATGAATGATTCTACCAAAAAGACACATGCACTCCTATGTTCATTGCAGCACTATTCACGATAGCAGACATGGAATCAACCTAGGTGCCCAGCAATGGTGGATTGGATAAAGAAAATGTGGTACATATACACCATGGAATGCTATACAGCCATGAAAAAAGAATGAGATCATGTCCTTGGCTACAGTGTGGATGCAGCTGGAGGCTGTTATCCTAAGTAAACTAACAGAAACAGAAAACCAAATATTGCATGTTCTTACTTATAAATGGGAGCTAAATCTTGGGTTCACACAGACGTAAAGACAAGAACAGTAGACACTGGGGACTGCAAAAGGAGGGAGGGAGAGGGGCAAGGACTGAAAAACTATCTGTTGGGTACTATGTTCACTATCTGGGTGACAGGATCAATAGAAGCCCAAACCTGAGCACCATGCAATACACCCTTGTAACAAACCTGCACATGTGTACCCTGAATCTCAAATGAAAATCAAAAAATTCAAAAAAACAGTTGTGTAAAAGGGGCTTGGGGCTAAGAAAATACTTGATTCATCTGTCAGAAGCAAACACAAAATCACCTTTGAGAGAAACCTCTTCAACCCAGTCCAGAAAAGATTCCCTAGGATAAAACTTGACTTATCATGAAATGAATAAAAACATAAGAAAAGTAACAAAGACACTATGAAAAAAACTAAGATTTAAAACAACAAACAGAACTTACTTAAAATAAATGATCATTGCAATAAAAAGTCTCAATGGGAATGTCAAACAGCATGTTATACACGACTGAACAGAAAATGATTGAAATGAAAGATGGAATTGAGGAAAGATAAAGATAGGGAAAATATAAAAGAGAAAGTAAGGTGCATGGAGTATATAAAGAGAGGGTTCAATTTGCGTTGAAAATGAACTGTAGGTGAAAAGAATAGCCAATATATAAAGAAATAATGGCTGAGAATGTCCAGAACAGATAAAAGACAAAAATCTTCATGCTTAGAAAATATGAGTCCCAAGCAGGATAAAAACCTACATAACTCATAGAAAAACTGCTGAAGATTAAGGCCAAAGATCCTTAGAATAGCTAGAAAAATTTAAAGAGAAAATTTGTAATTTGGTGGAGATTACAATTCCAGGAACCAGAAAAAATGGGTTTGTACTCACATCTCTCAGACTCCAAAGCTCATTTACCCTGCAGTTGCTCTATTCTGCTCCCTAGTGTACTTAATTTCTGACTTTTCATCTACTGCTGAGTTATTCTAAGCATATATGAAATGCCCTTGGAAATATTTTTTTCTGTTCTAAACCACTGCTTTTAGTTTTTATTCTCTGCTTCTTAAACTTTAAACGTGTTGTTTATTTATTTATTTATTTATTATTATTATTACTTTTCTTGAGGTGGAGTCTCTGTCTTTCAGCCAGGTTGTAGTACAATGGTGCGATCTTGGCTCACTGCAACCACCGCCTCCTGGGTTCAAGTGATTCTCTTGCCTCGGCCTCCCGAGTAGCTGGGACTACAGGTGCATGCCACCACACCTGGCTAATTTTTGTATTTTTAGTAGAGATGGGGTTTTGCCATGTTGGCCAGGCTAGTCTCAAACTCCTGACCTCAGGTGATCCACCTGCCTTGGTCTCCCAAAGTGCTAGGATTACAAGAGTCAGCCACTGCACCCGGCCTAAGCATGTTATTTATTCATTTAACAAATATTTATTGAGCAACTACTGCGTGCAAGGCATTGTTCTAGGATAAAAAACAAAAACCTGTATAAAGCAAAATAAAGATTGGGAAACACCAGTTTTAATATTGGGCTGCACTGATAGAGGTCTAAACTCAAACCTGTTACAGGTAGTTATTTAGGCACGAGCGGGACAGGAGAGGACTCTCTCCCACCCACTAGGAATGTCAGGTGATGGTTCAGCAATTACCACATTGCCTTCCTAAAAGAGATAATTGACAGTTGGCACCAGGGAGGGCCATTTCCTGATGATTCACACCTATTAACATCAAAATGTTAGCTGAATGCAGACCCTATGGAGAAGAAATTTCCTGGGCAGGTACGTTAAGAGACAAAATGGCAAAGTATGACGTTCCGGGGGTACTTTCCACCGGAAAAGGGAAGAAAACCTCAGATAGGCATGTGTACAACTTCCTAAACACCCCATGCATGCTCAGTTCCTAAGTGTAAGGAGGGCACTGCGTATGTGGGAGGCCCACCTAAAGGAAGAATCATGGCAAAGAGCTGAACCTATAAAGTCCCAGGTGTTTTTTGTTTTGTTTTGAGATGGAGTTTCACTCTGTCACACAGGCTGGAGTTCAGTGGCCCAATCTCTGCTCACTGCAACCTCTGCCTCCCAGGTTCAAGAGATTCTCCTGCCTCAGCCTCCTGAGTAGCTGGGATTACAGGCGCCCACCACCATGCCCAGCTATTTTTTTTTTTTTTTTTGTATTTTTAGTTGAAATGGGGTTTCACCATGTTGGCCAGGCTGGTCACGAACTCCTGACCTCAAAGTGTCGGGATTATAGGCATGAGCCACCGTGCCCAGCCTGGGATCAAGTTTAAATGTTCTCTTTTCTCTCTTGGACTGTGGCACCCACTTGGATATCTTCCAAGTGAACTGTCTTTTTTTTCCTTTTCTAAAGGCTTTTAAAATAAAGTTCCACTCCTGCTCTGAAACTTGCCCTCAGTCTCTTTCTGCTTTATGCCCCTCAGTCGAATACTTTCTTCTGAGAAGGCAGGGACTGAAGTTGCTGTGAACCTGTATGGATATGCCACTGGTAACGTGGATTCCTGCCACTGCTAACAAACCCAGCCTGATAAGTTTTTGTTTGTTTGTTTGTTTGCTTGCTTTTGTAGACAGCCTCATTCTGTTCGCCAGGCTGGAGTGCAGTGGTGCTGAAACCAACCCAACAGTCCCATAGACAGTGTTTTTTCGGATAAACATAGAAATTGACTCTCTTCTGGGCTTAAAGCTTGAAACTTACATATGTTTTATCTGAGTTCCTTCCTCAGGAAAGGACCCTCAGGATTCTCAAAAAGTATCAAAGAACTAAAACTCACTGGGTAATGGCATCCAGACAATGAGATACCAGGCCTCTTACTCATCATGATTGCTTCCTTACCCCTCCCAAGTTCCTGATTTTTTCACAAATAGTTACATTTCTTCCCTGTTATATAAACCACTGATTTCAGTTGGTTAGGGAGATGGATTTGAGACTTATCTTCCATCTCCTTCACTGCAGCACCTGATTTAAAGCTTTCTTCCTTGGCAATACTCATTGTCTCAGTAATTGGCTTTCTGTGCAGCAAGCAGCAGGACTTAGACCGAACCCCTAATGTTTTGGTAACAGTGCCATCATGGCTTACTTGTAGCCTCAACCTCCTGGGCTCAAGCATTCCTCCTGCCTCAGCTTCCCGAGTAGCTGGGACTACTAGTAGCATGTGCCACCACATCTGGCTAATTTTTGTACTTTTGCGGAGACTATGTTGCCAAGACTGGTCTCCAACTCCTGAACTCAAGTGATCCTCCCACCTCAGCCTCCCAAAGTGCTGGAATTACAGGCATGGGCCAGTGTAACCTGCCGAAAAATCTTATTTTTGCTGGGGAGGCGGAAGATATCAAGCTGGGTGAACACTTGACTTTTTAGTTTGGTAAGATGTGCTTTAATTACTTAGTTTATTTGGTGAAAACTGTTTCTCTTCTCTTCCTACATTTTTATCATATAACAGGAATCCCTAGTTTATTCTGCAAAGATACTGGATGTTCTATTCCCATCTCTGTGCCTCTCAATCATTTTGCTTTGGTAGTATCAAAACAAAAACAAAAATAAACAAAAAAAGAAATAGGCTTAACCAAGATTTCAGAGGATAACCATCTAATTTGATCTTTAGCCACATTCTACTTAGTCAAAAAACAGTGATTCTACCTACCCTTTAAAATATATTCCATGTATATATTACCTTGCATTTGTATAAGTATATGTATCTTTAAACACTTTCATATGCATCATCTTAAAATTCATACATATGGACATGTTTGTCAGAAATAAAATTTAAAAATAATTTGATGAAAAACATACAATTTAGACTTTTAGGGGGTAATTAAAAATATATATAATTTTGTAACACAACGAAACAGTACAAATTATTGGACAATAGGAAAAATATTAATCTATTAGTTTCTTTATAAAAGCCAAACAAGTACCTAACATAAAGGTAAATTGTTTCAAATTGAATTTTATAAAACATTTTATTGTGTTGAAGGATGACAGAATCTACCAACTCCAAATATGCTACTTTGGCATAAGTATTATTTTGAGAGCTAAAGGCACTTGAAAGACAGCAGCTGCAAGAGGGGTGCTCTGACCTTTCCTTCTCTTTCTGAAAGCAAGAAATAAAACTCCCATCTTAGAGATGCCCTCTCTATTCCAAGAGGAAACATTCTTATCACCACGGTGAGGCCAAAAGAATTCTGTACAAACAGACCTTGTTAAAATAACTCTTTTCCTCAAGACAGAGCCCAAAGCCTCTGCCTCACAGGCTCATGCCATCGTCTCACCTCAGCCTCTTAAGTAGCTGAGACTACAGGCACACACCACCATGCCTGGCTAATTTTTTCCATTTTTAGTAGAGATAGGGTTTCACCATGTTGCCCAGGCTGGTCTCAAACTCCTGGGCTCAAGCAATCTGCCTGCCTCAGCCTCCCAAAGTGCTGGGATAACAGGTGTGAGCCACTGTGCCCAACTTGAAATAGCTATCTTCTTTTGGTCTCCTCATACATTTTAGTTATGAAACTGGCCCAATTGCCCCATAGAACTGATGTCTATGGTTTCTTTTGAATTAACATAGGAATGGACCCTCCAGTCTTAAAACTTGAGAAAGTTACATTTATCTTATCTGAGTTCCTCTCTCAGGAAATCAACCATCAGGCTTTCGAGATAGTATTAAGGAATTGAAACTTAACAGATAACCCAATCTGGACAATGAGGCCTATCATTATTGCCTAACTGACCACCTGCTTCCTGTTGAACAACTTCTCTTCCTTATCCCTCCCTAATTCCTATTTTCTCACACATGGTTGCATTTCTTCCCTGCTATATAAATCCCTAATTTTAGTCCCTCGAGGAGATGAATTGGAGACTGATCTTGTATCTCCTTGGGTGCAACACCCGAATAAATACTTTTTCTCTGGCAATACTCATCGTCTCAGTGATTAGGTTTCTGTGTGGTAACAGGGCCTAGACTGAACCTCTGGTGTCTCAATTACAGTTATTTTTCCACAATTGCTTCTCTTCATTCTACCCAGCACATAAGCACTTAGGTTTTGCCACATCTTTGGGTCTTTATTTTTCTATTGGGCTCCCAGGTATGTAATAAAAATCTATAAGCTTTTTTCTTGTTAATCTATGTTAATTTAATTCTCAGGGCTACCTGGAGACCAGAAGAGGGTAGAAGAAAAGTTTTGCCTCCCCTACAATGTAAATAAAGGCATAAAATAACATAAAAGGAACATCTTGTGCTTGCCAGCCAGCTTAAGAAATAGAACTACCAATATGTTTGAAGACTCCTGTGTGCTCCTTCATGATGATCTCTCTCTCTCTCCTTTCCAGAGGCAGCCACTATCCTGAATTTTGTGATAATCTCTCCATTCCTTTTCTTTATATTTTAATCACATACATGTGTCTCTTAAACAACATATTTAGACTTTCCTATTTTTGAGCTTGAGATGAACAAAACTATACTTCTGTATTTTTTCTTAGTTTGCTTTTTGAGTTCAAAATTATTTTTCCTGAGATTCAATCATGCTGGTGCATATAGCTGTAGTTCATTCACCTTCACTACTGTATCATCTTTAATTGTATGATTATATTACAATTTTTAAAACCTATTCTACTTTCATAGACAATTGGGCTGTTTTCTAGTGTTTGTTCCTATCATAAACAATGCTAGTATGAACATTCTCATACATGTTTCCTGATGCACATGTGCAAAGATCTCTCTAGGATATATTCCCTGAAGTGGAACTGCTTGGACAAGGGTTATAGGCATGTTCACCTTCATTGGTAGATATACATTTATTTCCCAAGATGTTTGTGCCAATTTATTATTTATTTATTTTTGAGATGGAGTCTCGCTCTGTTGGCCCAGGTTGGAGTGCAGTGGCATGATCTCGGCTCACTACAAGCTCCACCTCCCAGGTTCACACCGTTTTCCTGCCTCAGCCTCTTGAGTAGCTGGGACTACACCGCACCTACCTGCCACCACACCTGGCTAATTTTTTGTATTTTTAGTAGAGAAGGGGTTTCACGGTGTTAGCCAGGATGGTCTCGATCTCCTGACCTCATGATCCGCCTGCCTTGGCCTCCCAAAGTGCTGGGATTATAGGTGTGAGCCACCATGCCTGGCCTGTGCCAATTTAAACTCTTATTTGCTTTGAGAAATTCTATTGCTGCATGTCCTTCCCATTACTTGGTTTTGTCAGGCTTTAATTTTTTTTTTTTCCAGTCTGGTGGCTGTGAATTGGTATATCATTGAAATTCATATGTTCACTCATACTAATGATGTGGAGAATCATTGGCTATTTACTGGCTCTCCATGCTACTCATGAGACATGAGTATTCAATAAAAAAAAATTTGATTCTTTGTATTGGCCTACTGATACACAACATTTTTATATATTACAAAACTAGTTTTTTATGTTTTATTTTACAGGAATCACAAAAATATTTTCCCAAGTTTGTAGTTTAACACTCTTTATGGGGTCTTTTAGTGAATAGTTATTAATTACAATAAGATTAAATTTCTTAATATTTTATTATAGTTTACATTATTTATTTATGAGATCCCTAAGGAGACAGAAGCCTTTCACTTATATTTTCTTCTAAAGTTTTTAATGTTTTGCCTTTCACATTTGAAACAATATATCAGAAATTGATTTTTGTGTAAGGTATGAACTAAAGGTCAATTTTCCATTTTTTTCCTTATAGATGAACAATTATACTAGAACCATTTATAGAATAATCCATTCTTTCCTACTAATTCTGAGTTCTGTTGTGCCATTATTCAAGTTTTTAATATGTAAATAGGTAATTTTCTTGTTTTTCCATTTCGTTTCATTGCCCTATTTATCTCTGCACCAATTACAAAATTTTATTATTACTTTTTTAGGGTAATAAAATTCTTCTTGTTTCTTCATCTTTAGGATTACTTTAGCTCTTGGCTTTTCCAACAGGTTTTTGAATCTAGGATTTTTATTTGTTTAAATCTGTAATTCCAATGAATATGCAGATTTGAAGAAACACATCTTTATATTAACCTTTCCAATATGTTAACATAACATATAAGTCTATCGATTTAGATATTCTTTAATGTCTTTGGATCCAATTTTATTACTTTATTTATTTATTTATTTTGAGATGGAGTCTCGCTCTGTTGCCCAGGCTGGAGTGCGGTGGCATGATCTCAGCTCACAGCAACCTCCACCTCCCAGGTTCAAGTGATTCTCCTGCCTCAGCCTCCCAAGTAGCTGGGATTACAGGTGCATGCCACCACACCCAGCTAAGTTTTGTATTTTTAGTAGAGACGGGGTTTTGCCACGTTCACCAGGCTGGTCTCAAACTCCTGAACTCAAGTGATCCGCCCTCCTCAGCCTTCCAAAGTACTGGGATTATAGGTTTGAGCCACTGTGCCCAGCTTTTATTATTCTCTTTATAGAGGGCTTACATATCTTTTGATATGTGTATTCCTAAGTACCATCTATTTTTAGTTGTTTTTGTAAATAGTAGTACCTTTTACAAGTTTTTTTTAATTTTCTGTTTGTTGCTGGAATCAAGAAATGCAGTTAGCTTTTGTGCATTAATCATATATTGTACCATCTTGACAAATTCCCGTAATTCCTATAATTTGCATAACCCTTTGTATTGTTCATATAGATGGTAATTTTCTCTGTGAATGACAGCTTTTTCCCTTCTTTTTCTATTCTTATACCATTTTCTCTTTGCTAAATTATTTAAGACTTTCAGTATAATGTTGAATACTAGTGATGATAGTAAGTATGCTTGCGCTGTTCCTTACGTTAAAGAATGCTTTTAGCATTTTGCTACTTAATATGTGTTCTCTTTCTATATACAGTTGTCCCTTGGTATCCTTTGAGGATTGATTCCAGAACACCCCACAGATAACAAAATCTATACATTCTCAAGTTCCTGATATAAAAGGGTGTAATATTTACATAATCTATGCACATCCTCCCATATACTTTAAGTCATCTCTAGATTATCTAGAATATCTAATACAATGTAAAGGCTACGTAAATAGTTGTTACACTGTATTGTTTAGGGAATAATGACAAGGAAAAAAGTTTGTACGTGTTCAGTAGAGACACTTTTTTTTTCCAAATATTTTTGATCCACAATTGGTTGAATCCATGGATGAGAAACTCACAGATATCAAGGGCTGACTATATATTGATGAATTTGTTTTGTTTGGATTTGACTATACACTTTCTTTTTCTCTTGTGGTTTTAGTATTAAGTTTACTCATAAAACAATAATTATTTCTCCTTTGTATATTTCTTTAAGGAGTTTATAGAAAAATTGAATGATCCTTTACTTGACTTAGTAGAACTTTCCTATAATTCCATCTGAGCCTGGTGATTTGTGTGAAAAGAACTGACTTCCAGGTTAGTTTCTTTTAATGGCTATAGACTATTTAGATTTTCAACTTATTCTTGAGTTTATTTTAGTGATTTGACCATATTACATGCTTATAATGTTGGTATACAGTTCTTCATAATACCCTCTGCTTGTTTTCTGCAGTGTCTGTAGTTATGTTCTTCATCTTTTCCCCAATTTTTAATTTATGGTTTTGTCCTTTTTACATTTTCTTGTCAATTTGTCAATATTCTCAGTCTTTTTGAAGAACTGTATTTTGGCTTTATATTATTCTATTGACTATTTTCTATTTCACTAATTTTTAGTTTTGTCTCTTAATTCTACACATCTAATTTCTTTAAATTTATTGTTTTTCTCTTTCTAACTTCTTAAAGTTGGATATTTAGCTCATGTATTTTTAGATTATTTTTCTTTTCTGATACAAGTAATCAAGGCTATCACACTGTTTTCTCCTAGCCTCCAAACCACCCTTCTCTCATTTGCTTTGTGATGCTGAGACAGACACTCTTCAAATCACATTTTTCCTTTCTACCTAGTTCCCTGTTAGCTTCTTCCAGTAGCCACTAAATGGAGATGAGGAGACTGGAGAGAAGGAAAGGAAACTGCTCCTGCCAGTTTTGCTTCCTGTTTCTGTAAGTGGCATTTCTGCAATGTTTTTCACTTTGGCAGCAGCATTTGGTTCCAGTTTCTTCTATAGTCTCAGAATTAGCCTCACTGTGTCCCCTCAGAGATACCAACATCAGCTGGCTGGAAGCAGGACTGCTTCCTCTGAACTCCCAAATACCAGCACCAGCTGGACAATACCTTCTTACCAGAGGTCTGGGTCCCACCTCTGCAGAGTCCTGCTCCAAGCTGTTAAATTGGGAGAACCCCCACTCTTCCTTTTCACATTCAGCTCCAGGAGTAGCAGATGCTGCCTGCAACTAGCATCCCTGGGTCACCTCAGAGGTCTCCTTCTGCTCTTTCAGTTGTCCTAAAGCCTCTTTAAACAATTCCTGATGTTAAAATTTTCTGCTTCCTTGAATGGACCCTGACTGATACAGTTATAGGCTATTTGGATTTACTATTTCCTCATAGGTCAGTTTTAGTGACTTGTATCATTCTAGGTCTTGGACCATTCCACCTGTTTCAAATTTATTTCCTTATAGTTGTTCACAGTAGCTTCTGCATGATTTCTGCAGCCTAGGTACTTACAGCACCTTTTTCATTTTTAGACTTCTTTTCTAAAGTGGTAAAACATTCCCTTAATACAAAGACGCTTTAGTTGGATCCTGCAAGTTTTTATATATAATTCCTTCATTTAGATTTGTGGTTCTAACTATTTTATATTTCCATTGTAGTTTCTTCTTTTAACCATGGGTAATTAAGGCATATGTTTAAATTCCAAGTGTAGATTTGAAATATGTAGATTTTTAAAGATACCTTTCTGGTAATTATTATCTAATTCAATTTTTGGGAAGTCCAATATTAAGACATGTATGATACAGGTTTTTGAAATTAGGTGACATTTCTTTAAGTACAGTTCATAATGTATTCTTTAAAAACATTCCATGTATGCTTGAAAAGAATGTGTACTCTCAAACAGGGAGTACAGCATTCTATATATGTACACTAGAATAAGGTTTTAAATTGTGCTGTTCAAATCCTCATCCTTTGTGATTTCTCCTTGCCTACGCTTTAAGTCAGTTACTGAAATATGTCTGATATAATCTCTCACCATGCTGGTGCATTCATTTCATCCTTTTAATTTTGTCAAATTTTGCTCTGTGTATTTTAAGCTATGTCATTGGGTATATATGATGTCAGATTATCTCTTCTTGGTGAATTAAAAATTTCATATATGTGGGATCCCGTTATTTTCATGCTACCTTTGTCTTAAAGTCTATTTTGTTTGATAGCATTTTGCCTATACCACAATGCTTTGGTTGGTATTTGCCTAAAGCATAATTTCCCATCTTTTCATTCACTACCTTTAAATGTCTATTTTTTTCCACGTATGTTGGAGTGTACAACTAAGTTCAATAATCTAATCTAATAATAAAATAATTTGCAATTTTTGTTTTAGCATTTTTTTGCAATTTAATGTATAGAATGAATTTATTAAATTTAATTAATTGGATTGATACAGTTAAAGAATGTTCTGTTGGCTGAATTCTTTTTACCTTAATAATGTAATATGTAATAATTTTTTGTAGTATTTTAATAATAATATATAATAATTTAAAAATAAAATGTAATAAAGTTGTATCTGAAGACTGAGTTAGGAAAAAGTTCCAAAGGCAAATTCCTGGAACTCTAGAAAAAAAGAATGGTGGCAAGTGTCAACAGAACTGATGTGTAAAATGACAACAGGGAAAACTATACAACTGTACCGCTGTGGAAAATAAAATCATATAATTGAGGAAAACTGTTCTATCACATGTCTTACATTTTAAAACTTGTCAGGAAAAGTTACTTATTTATATATTTTAAAGATATAGTGGCTTTATGTACACCTGTACTTTTCCAAAATACAATGAATATGACCAGTATCTTTACAGACGAAGCTGTGACTAAGCTTGTGCCTGAGGGAAAAACTGAAAATCAGAATGTCTGTTTTTTTCCAACATAGATACATTTTCAACTGGAGATTTAATAAGCTTTCTGCTCCTAGTGACTTACCTCATGATGTATCATGTATATTCCCTTATAATCATGATTTTTTTTTTTTTTTTACTTTTCAGGTTTAGAATAAATCTTCACTATTTCCTACCCAATGGCAAACACTTAAGGGAACTCACTGAAGTTTGGATGACTGATGAAGTATATAACAAACCCTGACTTTCCCAATATCCTAGCCCTACATAATGCTTTTTGGTGAAGGTTAAATGAAAAAATTTAAGGCAACAGTATTTGTACTGTGACCATTCCAGGAAGATAGCTCCCTGATTTTAAAAATTCAAAATGGGATATATACTTGAACTAACACATACACTACAATAGCCTTGCTGTAGTTTCATCATAGTTATCAAAACCCACAAATATGTTTTGCCTGGGTAACACGAAGTAGGAGAAATAACCCCTAAATCCTTCATATGCTTAACTCTTACTTGGACATTGTTGCCAATTAATTATGAAGGAGTTTATTTTTTATTTGTAAATAGAATGTATGAGGAAAAGGAAGGAAAGTTTACTTTATACCCACAGGAAAATCAGGCCCAAAGACATATACAGCACGACCAGAAGAGGTAAGGCACAGTTGTCTGAAGGATAATAGAACAGGTTTTTGTTAACTCACTATGTCCAGGCCAAAACCTTCCAACCATGATTATATTATAAGAAACTAGTGGCTGGGGACGGTGGCTCACTCCTGTAATTCCAGCACTTTGGGAGTCCGAGCTGGGCTGATCACAAGGTCAGGAGTTCGAGACCAGCCTGGCCAACATGGTGAAACCCCGTCTCTAGTAAAAACACAACAAAATTAGCCAGGCACAGTGGCACGTGCCTATAATCCCAGCTACTTGGGAGGCTGAGGCAGGAGAATCGCTTGAACCTGGGAGGTGGATGGAGGTTGCAGTGAGCCAAGATCATGCCACTGCACTCCAGTCTGGGTGACAGAGCGAGACTCCGTCTCAAAAAAAAAAAAAGAAACTAGTGAACATTTTTGCTACATTAAAAGTGCTGTTTCCTAAACGAGAGAACACAAACAAAGCCCAAAATATTTCTTTATTTTTACTTAGTTATTTATTTATTTTGAGACGGAGTCTCGCTCTGTCGCCCAGGCTGGAATGCAGTGGCGTGATCTCAGCTCACTGCAAGCTCCGCCTGGTGAAAACCCAAAATATTTCTAAAATGCACATGTTTTCTGACACTTCAGCTAACTCACAATGACTTGGCAACAATTTGAGTTACTAGTAGAAATCTCAATGGCTTTAAACTTTGAGTTTCTGGGATATTTTATCAGTGTAGCATGAAAAAATATATTAAATATATGCATTTAAGTAGTAATCTATTTTAACTCTGTATGTATAGTTTAAAAAAATAGCTATCCTAAGAATGGTTTTGTTTATTGTTCCACATATTTAAAACGTTGTATCTTATGCTTTTTTGTTTACTATGAATCTCTAGGTTCACATGGAGGATATCTAAAAGCTGTAATCTGTGGTCTTGAATTTACATGTTCCCAGTATTTACATCCTGATTCTTTTAAAACCTTGTTCACATTATGTGGGTATCCACAGGAGGTTTTAGGAGAAACTCAACTGGGATTATATATATGCTGAAAAAGATGCCACTGAAGATCAAGTTTAACTTTTTTCTGAGGTATGCTTCCCATGACTTTGGTTGTGTGCCTATCCTAGACATTAAACATTTAGCCACTGATTTGTGGACCATGATAGTTTGCTACAGATCAACCTGGCACACAAACAGAGGTTGGAGCATGATCCACTTTGAATAAAGGAGCTTTGCAGGCCGTTGGTTCAGGAGACCCCCTTATGGCTTGAATAAGGGGCTAAACACACCTTCTGACATTCGTCAAATAATTATGGGCTCTTTTTGCCTCTTGTGGGAAACAAATAGGTTTAGAAATTGTGGCTATCATCTACACAGAAAGCCAAAAAAAAATTGGCATCTTTCCCAGAATAAAATCTTTGCATTGATGCAAGAAACGGACATGTAGTGTTGACAAAATTCCTGAGAGAGGTACCTCTGTCTTAGAATTATGTTGTCTTTCAGTGTGCAGCCAGAGACCTCCCTAGTGAACCCAGTTAACCGAGGTAATATGGTGGACTGTTCCCAGGGCCGTGCCTCCCCACCAGAGGGAAGTGTTATGGTGCCTCTTTCTGACTCTCATTCCCAGTCTCTGAGCCCAGAGCTGTTGAGACATGTGAAAGAAAGAAAACCCCACAAAGAGCTAAAAACAATGAGGAAACCTGAAAGTGTTTCAACATTATTTTGAAGTGAGAATGAAGGGCAGCAGAAAAATCCTCCCATCTCTGTCAGTTTCTACAACCTCACTGACTAGTTTCCAAAGACCCAAATTCCTTCTAGAGAAGGAAGTCAACCAGGATTTGGTCAAAGCCTGAAACAGGAATGTCTACTTTCCCCAGTGGTGAACTTCTTGAAGTATCTAATTCACCTTTACGTCTCTGCAGTGCCTAGTGCAGTATCTTGCTCAGCAAATACTTGGAGGGAGGGAGAGGAGGGTAAAATGCTCTTTCCTTTTCCTTCATCCGCACAGTGAAAACCTTATTTGTGGTATTATCTTAAATCCAAAGAGCAAGGCAGAAGGGCTTGTCTACCTTATGGAAATGGTAGAAAGACCAACTCTCATCGAGAGTCATGGAGAAACGCAGAGGGGTATTTATTAATTTCCAGGTGACTAGCTTAAGTCCTTTGTTGATTTTTAAAACAACCAAATGCTTCTGAGATTTTGTAACTCAAATGAGTTTCAGAACCTTGCCAGTAAATTTCAAAGAATGCACTTATTTGGCTTTTTATCCTCAGAGAAAACAAGAATAGATATCACGCAGGAGCCTTTCACTGCAAATTTTATTGTTAAGCAATAATTTGATAACAACAAAGAATTTTCCTCTAACCTGACTCACATTATTGGAACACTAGAGGAATGTATTCATATGATCACCTGAAGCAGTCAATAGATATTTTTTAAAATTGTATCATAATGAAGAGAAAAGGTCCCACTACTATTTAAATGCTAACAATCACAAGGCTTCTAAGTGCAGTAGGGTAACACTCTCCCTGCTCACTCACTCTAGACAAACAGACAATCACGCCAACAGATTTCATCTAATTGTATCTTTGTATTTTATTTCCGATGGAACCAGAGGTTATAAGAACTAATATTTCTTCACCAATGCAGTATCTAAAAGATAGCTACAATTTGGAATAGAGCTCAATAGAGAGATGGAAAACAAGAAAATCCATGGAGAAATATCAGCCTTTGCTGATGTTTGCTATCACTAAAATAGATGTATAATTATGACACTTACTGGAACACAACCTTAAATGGCACACTTGTCAGAGAGGATAAGCATTAGGTGGATGGTGGGAGAGGGCTACCAACATTCTTCCTAATTTCAACTTGTTCTGAAATTTTAGCCCTGTCACTGAACTTGTGTTTTGTAGTTTCTTGGATTTCCTCAATAGACATGTCAGATCCAGACTTACTTTTGTTGCCTCCCCTCAGTCATCCATCTCTGAGTCTTGGTTGAGATGACAAAGTTGGCAACAGAGTGTCAGAATCTCCCCGTGTTCCCTGAATTCTGCAGAGTTGCTCTCCTACTTGCCTCCTTCCACTGCAGGGGACATGTCCTAAGACTGGCTCCTGGCCCAGTGCATAAGCCCCTGGGAAAAGCAGATGCTCACCTCAGGATCATGCTCTCCCTGTTGGGGACATCTAGGTTTCCATCTCAACCTATTACCTCCAAACTTGTCATCTCATTTCTAGATTTTTTTTCATACTGTTTTGGATTCAGTCTGATTTCACCTTTCCCATGAAGCAGGCTGTCCACCAGTGATGCTCTCAAAAGTATCTACATTTCCAGGACATATTTTACATCCTCAAAGCACTCATACTTACTGTCTCACATTACAGAGACATACACACATACCTTAGCTTTAAACCTACTGAAGACAGGTCTTTATTTTCTTAACATTCCCCTATTCTTATTGACTAGCAGATCTCTTAAGCATAGAACTTAAAACTGTTGGGTAAATACTTAGGGATCTTACTTTATGAAATAGACATGTTTAAAAGTAATGCAGATTTCATTTAAAATACACTGTGAACACTAGCTTTTTCATGAGATCCTATTTTGACTTTTTTTTTTTTTTTTTTTTTTTTTTTTGAGATTGGACTTGCTCTCTCGCTCAGGCCGGGGTGCAATGGCACGATCTCTGCTCACTGCAACCTCCACCTCCCAGGTTCCAGTGATTCTCCTGCCTCAGCCTCCCAAGTAGTTGGGATTACAGGCATGCGCCACCATGCCCGGCTAATTTTTTGTATTTTTAGTAGAGACGGGGTTTCAACATGTTGGCCAGTCTGGTCTCGAACTCCTGACCTCATGATCCGCCCCCTCCTTGGCCTCCCAAAGTGCTGGGATTACAGGAGTGAGCCACCACACCTGTCCCATTGACTACTTTTAAACAAAAATTATGCTCTAACGGTTTTCTTAATAAGTTTAGATTTTTATTCAAAGGGTTTCAAGGCAAACTCACAGAGAATTTGCAACCCCCTGGAAGCTAACTAAATACTATAATAACGATTCATGCTGTGCAAAAATTGTGCCAAATGTTTTCTATATCTACAAAAGACTGTCAGTCTTCTGTTTAGCAACAGAAACCACAATGTTTTACCAATCTATATGTATAACTAAGCCATGCAGTTGGTTCTGTATCTTAGTTTTAAAGGTGATACTAATTGAAGAGTTCTGGATTTTTGCTTTGAATTTTATTCAAATTCCTTGGTTTATAATGACCTAAGCATCTTTCTAGAGTCTAGACTAAAACAGCGTTTTCAACCTTAACACTATCAACATTTTGGACCAGATAATTGCTGCCAGGTGGCGGGTGGCGGGGCTGTACTGTGCATTGTAGGGTGTTTAGCAACACATCTAACCTCTACCCACTAGATGCCAGTAGTACCCACCAATCCTCTGAGTTGGGACACCCAAAAATGTGTTCAGATTCAGGCAAATGTTCCTGGGGAGAAAATTCTATTTTCCTGTGATCTCTGTACCAGCAGCATCACCATAACCTGTTGGTTTATAAAAAATGTAAATTTGATCCCACTTGGACGTAGTGAATCAAAATCACTGGGAGTGGTATTTAGGAAGCTGTCATTTAACAAGCTCTTCAGGTGATTTTGACACATATTGAAGTTTGAGAGCTGCAGAGACCCAAGTCTATTGCAAGACTGGGGAGAATCCCAACATCTAGGTCACACCCTAGACTAATAAATTATAACCACTAGGGGTGGGACACAGGCAACAATAAATTTTGAAGCTTGAGCAGTGGCTCCATGAATTGCCTGGGGACTCTAAAAATGCTCACAACTGGGCCCACTTTCTATTAATTAAACTAGAACCCTTAAGGTAGGATCCAGACATCAAAATTTTTCCCTCCCAAGTACAATGTCGTAAGAACATAATAAGCACTCAGTAAAACCTTTTTTTTCCAAAGCAAAAGCTTATGGAAACATTAAACATTAAAAAACCTCTTCAAAGATAAATATTTATAGGCAAGTACTGAATTCTTATCCTAAGCCAGACAAACCTGTTGGTACCCAGAGTCGTGTTTCTAGCAAATGGAGCTTGCTTACAAATTCTGGAAGCTGTCAATGTGAAATAAGCTATTTTAATATTGCCAGTCACTCAGATAGCCATACACAGAAGGCATGAGATGAAAACATCCTTGCACTGCTGCTGCTTTTCATGGATTAGCTGGGGTGTGTGAAGAATCTGACCGTGGCTCTTCTTTTGGGAGACTCTGAGTGCATTACGCCTACTCCCTATGCACCTGGTTAGTCCTCCTGAGTGCATGCCCTCTAACTCCCTCTGTCCTACCACCAGCTGTTCCCATATCTTGTTTTTTGGAGCTTTTCCTATTTTTATGAACTTTTGGATGCAGAGGATAAGTTGACATTTTGGCAGAGGATCGTGACATACACAGAAATGTCTCTCCATGGTAAATATAGCTCAGTAGGGAAAAGAATCAGCTTGTTCTATGAAGATATTTCTACAGAGCTTGTTGATTTTCTTGATTGCCTGTGCAATGAAGTTTTACACATCCAAAACTGAAAATCAGAATCTATTTATAAAATATTCATAAAAATAAGTATGTTGATGTATGTGTGTGGGTCCTAAAAAATCAATCTAATTGAAACAAAAGGCTAGTTCTAAGAAGAAATCAAGAAGCATCTGTGTCACTTTGTAGTTCTATTTTGGCTTGTTATTATTTTCAGCAGATTCTGTGGTTGTTAAAGAGCTTTGAGTTTATCTGTCAAAGAGGCATGACACAGCCTAATAGAATTGCATATAAGAATCCTGATCCAGAAATTCCTGGTTATGTATCCTTGGAGAGTTAATCTCTCTAAGCCTTAGTTTCCTTATCATTTTCCCAGTGGAGTTGTTATGGGAGACTCCTCCAGCTCCTGCTGGCAATAAACCTCCCACGTTTGACACAGAAACAATAGCCGGTTCAAACAAGAAGCCGTTACATTTCAAATTCTGGAGACTGTTTTCAACATTAATTCAAGTAGGGGGAGATTGGGGTGAGAGATCTTAGTGATCCCAAAGAATCATTATAAGTTATAAAAATAATGACCCATATTGAGACATATTTTTTTCTGAAATCATTTGTGTCATTGTGGTCTTGTATTTGTACAGAAATAAAATTGAGTCTAATTTGTCACCACCCTTTGATTCAGAAAAACCTCAACACCCTCTTCACGAGGGACAGAATCCAAATACTGACAAAGGAGCAGATGCCAAAGAACACATCCCAGTTCAGAGAGCTGTGGATCAGACTGGCCATGAGAGTCATTTACATGGTGTCATGGTGCTTTGCTAAATGTATCTTTTGTTAATTAAATGTTTTAACAACAATAGTCCAGCTTATAGAGTTTATCTTTAGGGACTATTTGGTGGGCTTGATGCTGTATAATGTCTTACATGTTTAGGATTGCAGAAGTCACTTTTAATAAGTAGTTCAAAGCTTGAGTGAACTAAGGATATGAGGCCAACTAGAGAGAGTAGGAGCCTTAATTATATGGCCTAAAGCAGTTGTTTTCAGCAAGTGTGTGGTCTTTAGACAAGCAGAACCAGTAGCCTCTAGGAATTTTGTTTAGAAATGCATATTCTTAGACCCCATGCGAAATCCATAGATCAGAACCTATTGGAGTGGGGCTCAGCCCTCTATGCTTTGATAGGCTCTTCAGATCATTCTGATGTCCACTCAAGTCTGAGAACCACTGCTCTAGTGCTGTGCTTCCTAAATCTGGATGTCCATCAGAATCTCCAGAAGAGCTTGTCAAAAAAAAAAAAAAAAAATCCAGATCAACAAATGATCTCATGCCACTCCTCCAGATTCTGATTCAGTTGGTTTGGGACCAAGACATTTATCTTTTTAAAAGATGCCTCTAAGTGATTGTGTTGATTATCTGGGTTTAGGAACCACTTTATAAACTACCAGATTTCAGTGGCTTACATTTTGGGGGAATAGGGGGAAAAGAAGAAGAAAGAGGGGAAAAAAGGAGAGAGAAGGAGGGAAGGAAAAGTGGGGAAGGAGAGAAAGAGAGGGAAGAAGAGGAAAAGAAAAGGGGGAGGGAGTATGGAAGGGGAAAGAACAGAAGAAGAGAGGATGAAATAGCTTTTCTTTCTTTAAATCAAATACTTCACTGATACACCTATATTTAATAACTAGTTTCAGAATTAAACTTTAAGAATTTACATTAATTGCAAGCTTTTCAACAAAGTCTAGGATAAAAAATGGTTTCCTTTCTCCCAAATTCTTGACTATCACTCATTGTTCAATTTAGCCCTAATTACCTACCAGACTTCATTAGAATATAATTGTCTAACACGCTTGAAATATGTATCTTGGAGTCGGACCCTTAAGGACTTGTCCTTAGCTCTGGAATCTTAGAGTTGGAATTAAAAAATCCTGCCAATAGTTTGGCCTCAGTATTCTCCAATGCCAACTTTTCTCCATTGGAAATACGAGAAGCTGTTCCTCTCTAGTGTTAATTGAAGGCAACGCCCGTCTAGCCCCTCCTCAGCTGAAATCATCTACCATCTTCTCTGACTCCCCTATAATTGACCTCCTTGTGTGCCTAAGAAATTCTATCATGTAAAATGTCTGCAAATGACAGAACCAAAAGCTCTTGCAACACATTTTGAAATATCATAAGAAGAAAAACATTATTTTCCACTCTTAACAAAGTATTACCCTTCTAGTTGTAATTTTAGCTCTGACATTTTATTATGAAATAAAGGTCCCTTTCTAACTCCCTAGACTAGGGGGCTGGTAAACTATGACCTGTTACCTGTTGTTGCACAACCACTGAGCTAAGAAAGGTTTTTACATTTTTAAATGGTTGAAAATGCCAACAAATAATATATTTCATGATACGTGAAAATGATATGAAATTCAAATTTCAGTGTCTATAAGTGAAACATTATTGGAATACAGCCATATTCATTTATTTATTGTCTATGGCAGTTTTTGTGTTACAAAGTACAAAAGCAGAAATATTCAAATGCAACAGAGATCATATGACCCACAAGTTTCAAAAATATTTTCTATGTGGACCTTTACAGAAAAAACATGCCAACACCTGTTCCAGACTCTGAACTGTTGAAGGGAATTGATCCACAGCTATTTATCATAGCCCTAGTTATCTATCCCACCTTGAGTAAGTACCCAACTTCATGTTTTTCATTTTATGGATGCATAATTTGTTTTGCGGTTTTTATAATCCACCTTGCTTCTGAAAGAGCTTCTTCCTTATATCTTATTATATTTTAAACAATATTTAGAATAGCAGCTTTAACAACAATATAAAATAGAGATTTCCAGGATTTGACCCACCTGGTACAAGGGAAAAGTAAGGGGAAGGAAGCCAGGGCTGAAGCTTAATGAGGAGTGGACTTGACTTTTCGCTGGGGCTATTTTCTGCCCTAAAGCAAGGACATCGCTTTTTCTAGCAAAGATTTTTTTTTTTTCTGTCATGAATAAAAATAGCCTTCTTTGTACAAAGCCAAAAATGTTTTTAAAATTACACTTTCAACAGTTTTAACTCATTTTTCATTTCATTGTAAGTTCTTACTTTGTTCCTGCAAAGAATCCAACAGGAACATACTTATCAATCATCTCTTTCAAAGAGAGAGTATTGACATCTGAATTACATCTAAAATAGAGGGAGAGGGGATGAAGGGGAAAGTATGAATCAGTCTTAGAAAAACAACAGTAATTCTAAAGATCTAAAATTACTTGAGAAATAGGGTCATCAAGAAAACATAAAAACCAGCAGCAACCATTTATCAAGATTGTGGCCAGCCAAAGTCTAAAACAAATGAACAAACAAGCAAACAAACATTGTTTCCTAAAAAATTAAAAAAAAAAACATCGGCTGCCTGTGACCAAGATTTTCCTCTTTGTGTTTTTAAAATCATACAGAAAATGAACCAAGAAGTACAGAGTTCACTTTTTAGATTTCTAATAATGATGTGACCTTTGGTTTCAGATCAGTTCTCATAAACATCTATTTTTCATTTTCAACATTACTGGTATCTTCAAACAGTTCTACAATAAAATAATTCACAAGTACATGTAAATGATAGTTCTTTGGCATGTAAAATTGCTAGGCGATGTACTAGTTTTATATGCAAAATTTCATTTTCTTTGCACTATTTTCTTCGTAAATGCCCAGTAGCTTATGAAGGTAATAGAAATCCTCTTCTGCCATCTCAAATTACATGTCACAATCCCAAGAATTAGATGCCAGAGAAAATTGCTACTCAGGAATATTATTTTGATTTTACTTTTAACAGTAAGCATTTCTTTGAATGTAGCCATTCCGTTGTTGATCTCATTTTTAGTGGCAGGGCAAATAAGCATATGTCAAAACATGGTGGAAACTTGTGCTGAGATCTAGATTGAACAAGGAGCAGGTGAAATGTCTACAAATTGTGGATTTTGGAAATGATAAATGCTTCATGGCCTACATGCCAGACAACTTTTAACTGGAGATAAAGCAGCAGGAATAGTTAAAGGAAAACACTACTCTTGTCATTAAAAAAAAAAAAACCAAACCCAAATAGTTAAATGTACTCAGTGGTTAATGTGCAAGGTACTGTGTTAATTTTCTTACATGCTTTATCTTGGTTAATTACCTATCTGATGTCTCTATTTTTGAAATTTTCAACACTTTTGATCCAATGTTCCATCAAACAGCATCTCTTAGTGGGTGCAAATTGGTTAAATAGTTAGGAAGAGCCAAAGGATGCAGCAGTGCCCTTGTCTAGCTCTTCATCCTAATAGTACCCAGTCACCTGGGGGAAGGCAATCTCCAGGACAAGCCCATCGTGCCTCTGATGTCTGTCTAGGTTTTCACACCACAGCACTGCAGAAACAGGGGCAGTCATTTTGCTAGATTTCATGCATTGTTCCCTTCTGAGGATTATGACATCTAGTAATGAATTGGTTAACACTGAGGAGGAATAGGAATGTTGATTTATGGATTTTCTGGAAAAATTGGGAAGTCAGGAAACATAAATTACTTTTTTTTAAACTTTTGTACTCCCTACCCCCAACCCTTGCCCGCAGAAGTTTTAACTTTAAAGCAATGATAAAAATGAGAATTTTAAATTAGGACTTTAGCAATCACTCAAATAGAAAGAGTAAGCTGGTTTCAGAGTTCAGTAGAATTGAGGAAACTTCATATTTATTTTGCTTACTCGAGGATGAGCTCCTGCGGGGAAAGGACCCTAACAATCCCTATATTTATCCATTGCTTACAAGAATAACTAAGCTCATTTTTTAGTATATCCCATGGCTACTGATATAAAGTAAAATCTTACAATAATTTGAAACCTTTTTAATAATGGAGGCATTGGTAATCCTGAATGAAGGGTTTTTAGACTACCTTTCCTCATGTTTGCCTATATTGTTAGGAATTCACCAAGAGGTAAATCACTACAGTCAGAAACCATGGTGAATATCTGCAGACATCAGTTGCCATGAGACATTCCTTGCTTGAAGCCTAAGAGGAGACAAATGTTTAAAATTATTGATTTTTGACTATTATTCATAAATTAGTCTCAAGCTGTCTAGTTTTGACTATTGTCTTTTTATTTTAAAATATTTGATATGTGAGCAATTTTCCCACTACTAAAATGTCATATATTCATGACAGATTTTTTTTTTTTTTTGAGACAGAGTCTTGCGCAGTGGCCCAGGCTGGAGTGCAGTGTCGCAATCTCGGCTCACTGCAAGCTCCGCCTCCCGGGTTCACGCCATTCTCCTGCCTCAGCCTCCCGAGTAGCTGGGACTACAGGCGCCCGCCACCATGCCCGGCAAACTTTTTTGTATTTTCAGTAGAGACGGGGTTTCACCATGTTAGCCAGGATGGTCTCAATCTCCTGACCATGATCCGCCCGTCCCGGCCTCCCCAAGTGCTGGGATTACAGGCGTGAGCCACCGTGCCCGGCCTCCATGACAGATATTTTAATGAAAGAGCCTAAATAAAATGTATGTCCAATGTTCTAAAAAATTACATGACTGTTGTTTGAAGTCAGCTGTGAACCAACACTAATTAGTCTATTTCTTTATAAAACAGAGCTAATCATTACAGAGTAAAAACTACAATATACAGACCAGATATCTTTGGAAGATGAAACAAATCTATAATATCAAGGCAATAAAAAAACCCAAAACATAAAAACTAAAAATGTTGTTCAAAATGTTTATGCTTGTGAAATTTGCATTTTAAAATATTATTGGTATAACTCCCATTTGAAAGCATTTTGTGTTTTTATGCAGTCTCATTAATCATGGCGTAGTGTACAGCTTTGAGATAAAATGAGTCTTTAAGAATGTGTGGGTCTTGTTCTTTAGTTAATGGAGAGTTATGAGGCTTTCAGAATCTGGTCATATTGATTAATCCTTTTAGTCCACACCACTACACTATGGAATAAGCAAGAAGTTACACCCTTCAGATAGGAACTCTCAGTAAGGGTAACGGGTTTACCAAGGTTACAGGGTTATAAATGCTGGAGTCCTTACAAGAAGCCAAGTCTTATTCATAATTCATTCTATTCCATAACACTTCTCTATTGTATAGTAAGAATAGCATAGTCTCTTAAAAGTCACTTCTACAGCTAAAATTTTATGATTCTGCCCTTCAGTTCCCTTATGTCTATAATGGACATAATACTTACCATACTTACTTGACTCAGTATTGCACATGATAATTCACACCAATGGCTTACTTAGGTAGTCAATATTCCAAGAGGGAAGTGGGACCTAATAGCCTGCAGTTTCCATGAGACTTGGAAAAGACTCAGGTGACTGGACCTGGCGGGAAATTTTCAGAACTAACTATTCAAGACACTGAGAAAAAGTAGAGCTCTGATCTCTCAAAGGTTAGAAAAGACTTACCATGTTAGCAGTGATAAAGACTTGCAATATGCAGTAGGTGGGTAGAAAAGAATATTCTATGAGGGCTTTGTGTCAAGTTTTGGAGTTGGGATAGAAAGGAAAAATGTCATAACTAAAAATATCAGTCTGATTAAAATTGTAACATGTGATATGTTATAACCATATTTACAAATGGTCTAGACCAGTAGTTTGGATGCTAAAAAAATTATCTTTCCCTGTGTCCTTTCATTTTTCTTTTTCTTTTTATTTTCCTCTCTTTTAATTTTTTTCTCCCTCATTCTCTTCTTCCTTTCTCTTCATCATTGGATGAAGGAAAGCCCTTCCCCTAACTCATCTGAACAATTTTTAAAGCAAAAGAAGAGTTAGAACCATACTATCTGGGGTGATGTGTCTTGAGACAGCTATAGCAATAGCATCTACAGCCTTTCAAATCAAAGAGTTATAATTATAAGAGGGAGATTGTGCTCAGAGTTGGGGGCACAATTTGAGATACAAGCCACCTTATACCAGTAAGGATTACTTTCAACTCCAAGTAACAGAAAACTTGACAAACTAAAGAGCTTATGCACATCAAGGGTTTGTTTATCTTACTCAGTAAGAATCCATAAATGGGCCGTCCAGAGCTGGAGCTACAGTCCAGTGTAAGTGCGTTAAAGAAGGCAGGGCCCTCTATCTGCTCCGTCGTCTCTAGTGAATAAAGTACCTATTGCTGTCTAACAGCATCACCACACTGTAGGGGCCAAGGGAAAACTTCCCCTTTGTCCTCTGAAGATTTGCTGAAAAATCAACTGACAAAAGGCAGATTAATAGGAAAAATGGCATACAAATTTATTAGAGTGCATGGGGGGAATCATAGAGTGATGACCCCACCACACAATGGGGTACAGATGGTTATATACCTTACTTCTTCTTAGGGGAAAAGGAGATTGGAAAATGTGGATGATTTTAAGGGGGCTAGTAAATTATTTTTAGGGAAATTCAATGGGCTTGAAGAACATACAATGGCCTAGTACAAAGTCTGTTGGGCACACAGAGCAGACAATGGTTTGTGAAAAAATTCTTTCCAGCTGTATTGACAGACTTCAGTCCTTCTCCCCCTGCATATCAGTTCAATTTATGAGAACTTGGGGAAGGGTCCAGAGGTAATTGTTTTCTTCTTTGATGGGTCCAGACTAGGCAGTCGGGGAAACTTCATGCCATGTTTTGAGAGTGAGAGAATTGAGAGATGGGAAGAGAGGAAGGTCAGAGAAATCTTGAGGCTTCTTCTTCAATTCAGCATATCAAAGCACCCTATGTCAGTTTCTGATCACCAACAACACATTTAACAGCTTAAAACAACTCAAATTTATTATCTCACTTTCTGTGGGTCAGAAGGCTCCAAATGTAGTTTAACAGGGTCCTCTGCAGGACTGCAGTCAAGATGTTGGCCAGGCTGGGTCTTCATCCAAAGCTTAATGGGAAAGAGCTGCTTCCAAGCTGTCATGGTTACTGCAGGCGTACCATTCCTCGTGGAGCATTGATTGGACTGAGGGCCTCTGTTTTTTGCTGGCTCTTGGCTGGACACAACTCAGAGTTTTCAGTTGGTTCTTGGACAGACGCTGCCCTATATTCCTTGCCACATGTACCTCCCCAACATGGCCTCTTGCTTTGTCAAAGCTAACAAGAGAGAGTCCCTCAGTGAAACAGATGTTACAATCTTAATCACAAGAGTACTGTCTTAACACGTTTACTATTCTATTGGTTAGAAGCAAGTCACGGATCCTGCCAATACTCAAGGGGAGAATACATGAGGGCACGAAGACCAGGTGGTGGGAATTATGGTTCCATCTTAGAATCTGTCTGCTCTACCCAGCATGGGCACAAGATGGCTATTACACCTCCAGACACCCCATGTCCCAGGCAGGAAGAAGGAGAACGGGGATCTGCAGTACCAGAAGACTTCCCTTACACATCATTGGTCAGAACTGTGTTGCACAGTCAGGCCAGCTCAAAGGCAGTCCAGAAATTCTAGTGTTTTGGATCTACATCTATAGCAGGGGCAGCCAAGAAGCGTTGGAAACAGAGCTTGTTATGTTAGCTAACCCACAGGGCCTGCCACTTATTCCAAAGGAAGACTATTATGGCTGGGCATGGTTTGGAAGAGAAATTGCAATCTTTGAACTGGAAGGAAAATATTTGTGTGACTGAGGTTTTAGTGATTTCACAAATGAGGATTACAAGACATGAGATGACTTGACATGACCACAGTGTGATGTGATTTATTTTTTCTACCTCTCAGGCAGCTGTGGCCTGGAGAAATGAAGAGCTATATATATACATATGGGGGTTATAAAGCAATGAGGTAGGTCCAAAGCACATACCAAAACCAGTCTCTAATTTTCTATTCTATGTTGCAAACATGGTAGTAATGCAAATGGACCTGCATCTTTATTCTTCCTTTACTGCATTGGCCATACTTTTTACAAAGCTAGCAAAGAGGACTCTAGCCTTTTACTGATGCTTGAAGAACCTTAACATTTTTGTAGAAAATATGCCATAAAAATGGAAAAGTTAACTATTTTCAGAATTGGTCTTAATGTTATCATTTCCTTATGTGAACTTTGCTCTCACATACATGCCCTTAGCACTTTACTTTAAAATTAATTACTTGTCCTTAAGCTTTGGACAGACTAGCTCTCAATTCAAAATGGACCATGTTGCAAAAGTCAGCTCTCACCTTACTTTATGCCACAAAGAAATCAGTTGAGCTGGAACCTTTCATGAATGTGGCAGTACTGCCTCAAGACAAAGTTTTCTGGGAACAAAATACTTTATAATCATGAAAGAAAATCAAATTATCTTCCAGTTGTGCTCTCCTTAGGTGTGAACATTGTTGCACAAAAACTAGGCTCAACCTTGCCTGTAATAATTTTTCTCTTTGCTGCACAGTTTATTATTTCTTGATGGAATCAAGTCAAACTCTAGCCATATCAAGGTTCTTTATGAAAAAATAGGATGTTCTGTCAGTTTGAGAGATGAGTGGCAACACAAAAGACTTTAGTTATTCAGTTCTCTGGCTCTTATTAATTTTCCAAAAAGAGCATAACAGAATTTCAAATGAAGTTCTCCAGCTTTTCACTCTATTGATATATTTCTAGTTTATTATCATTTGTGCTAGTAAACTGGAATATATTTATATGTTCTGTCTTTATTAACTAGTACCTTTCTTCCAAAAGTTCAGCACTGATTAAAACGTATTGTTAATACTCGGGGCAACATGCAGACACTACTATCCTGAAACACTAGATCTGTGAAATCTGCTAACTTCTTTCTCCCAGGTAGAAAAAAATGGAACACTCTGAAGTAAAGAGGAAGACTTCCCACAGTGAAAAGAAGAAATGAGGCTGTAAAACAGCAAGAGGTGGCTGGGTGCGGTGGCTCACGCCTGTAATCCCAGCACTTTGGGAGGCCGAGGCAGGTGGATCACAAGGTCAGCAGATCAAGACCATCCTGGCTAACATGGTGAAACCCCGTCTCTACTACAAAATACAAAAAATTAGCTGGGCGTGATGGCGGGCGCCTGTAGTCCCAGCTACTCGGGAGGCTGAACTAGGAGAATGGCGTGAACCTGGGCGGCGGAGCTTGCAGTGGGCCAAGATCGCACCACTGCACTCCAGCCTGGGCGACACAGTGAGACTCCATCTCACACAGCAAGAAGTACACCTGCTCAGAGATTCTTTAGTGGGCAGTAGAATGGAAGGTTTTGGAGTTGGAGGCATAGATGCATTTATTCAGTTGGAGTTCACGTTATATATAAGAGAGATTTGATGCAGATTACAATTCCATACCTTGATGGCTTTTCTAAACTCCTAATTTTTGACATAAGGAAGTCAAAAGGATTCAGGGTAATTCAGGGTGTGTTCTGATGTTACCTAGCATCATATTTCTGTTAGACTCTGGAGGACCTTGTTTTTCTAGCTCCTACAGAAACTCTCTGTTTAAAAAGCAATAAGAATCTCCTCTCAGGTAGTGATTTCTCAGCAAGTTTAGGAAACATTTTAGACAGTGGTAGCCCTTCTTGTGCTACTGTTTGAGTGAATCTGATGGGACCAGTCATCTCTGGGCAGCTCTTCTAGTGACCAGCATTTCTGCAGGCTTCTTCCTATTTTAATGTGTTTTATTTTATTTTATTTTTATTATTATTTTTTGAGACAGAGTCTCGCTCTGTCACCCAGGCGGGAGTGCAGTGGCCCGATCTCGGCTCACGGCAACCTCCGCCTCCCCGGTTCAAGCGATTCTCCTGCCTCAGCCTCCTGAGTAGCTGGGACTACAGGCATGCGCCACCACACCCAGCTAATTTTGTATTTTTAGTAGAGATGGGGTTTCACCATGTTGGCCAGGATGGTCTCAATCTCCTGACCTCGTGCTCCGCCCACCTCGGCCTCCCAAAGTGCTGGAATTACAGATGTGAGCCACCGCACCCAGCCCTTAATGTGTTTCATATGAGCAAGGGCCCATTATGATTTCCGCTCTAAGAAACTGCCACAAAATTAGCAGCTTAAAACAACATGAATTTATTATCTACCAGTGCTGTAGGTCATACATCTGACATGGATCTCCAACCAAGGTGTCCGCAGAACTGCATTTTTCTGGTGGCTCCAGAGGTGAATGAATACACTCCCTTGCCTCTTCCAGCATTGAGATTCCTTAGTTTGTGGCCCCTTCTTCCATTTTCAAAGCCAGCAATGGTGGGTTAGAATCCTTTTCACAGGGCATCACTCCGATCTCCTTCCATTTGTTTTTCACTTTAATGGAACGTTGTGATTACCCCTCCTGGATAATCCAGGATAACATTTTTATTTTAAGATCAGCTGGCTAGCAACACTAATTCCATCTGCAACTTTAATTCCCCTTTGCCATGTAATGCAACATATTCACAGATTCTGGGAATTAGATGGGAACATCTTCGGGGGTCATTATTCTGCCTGATACAGTTCCCGAGTAGTGTTTAAAAACAAGTAAGCCGGGTGTGGTGGCTCACACCTGTAATCCCAGCACTTTGGGAGGCCAAGGTGGGTGGATCATGAGGTCAAGAGATTAAGACCAGCCTGGCTAACACGGTGAAACCCCATCTCTACTAAAAATACAAAAAATTAGCTGGGCGTGGTGGCACGCACCTGTAGTCCCAGCTACCCGTGAGGCTCAGGCAGGAGGCTCAGGCAAGAGAATGGCTTGAACCTCGGAGGCGGAGGTTGCAGTGAGCTGATATCACACCACTGCACTCCAGCCTGGGCAACAGAATGAGACTCTGTCGCCAAAAAAAAAAAAAAAAAAAAAAAAAAAAAAAAAAAAAAAGGGGGGTTTTGATCAGCCAGTCACACCAAAGAGCAGTATTAAACCTGTTTATTACTGAAGTATGAATTCAGCTTTATCAACCAGCCTTGACTCACACTTAGAGGTCAGGATATAGTTTTATGGCCGATCAACTGTCTTTCCCTCTTCTCACCCTTTTCAAATGAATAGAGGAGAGAGCTCCCTCTGTATTTATATCTTCCTACTTTCGGTCGCTAAGAATCCCTGTAAGTCCATGTGACAGAGACTGTAAGCTGTTAATCAAAGTCTGTCCTTTCTTGGTCCTCAGATAGACTACTTTTCCCAGCTTCTCTTTAAGTTAGGTGTGGCCATAAACTGGGTTTCAGCCAATGGAAGTGTATGATTCTTCCAGGCCTGGCTCATAAAATTCTCCTGTATGTGGTCTTCCATATTTTTCCCCCTCAGGAAAGAGGAAGGAGGAATCCTGATTATGGTGGAAATGACCATGGTGACGTTAACATCTAATGGTTTGGCTACCGAAAACTCCTCAATGGCAAATTGTATCAGAGGTGCCTCTGACCTAGAACCCCTGCCTAGGGCTGGTACATAAGAAACAAAGGAAGCTCCTGTTCTAAAAGCTGATGAATGTATGGAACCTCTTGTTTACAACAGCTCAGCCTGTATTCATTAATTGTTTGCTCCTGCATTCTTGTTTTGTTGCACTCTCTCTTGTCTTCTTTACAGTGTATTTCTCCAGCCACATACTCCCTGTGCTATATTCTTGCAGCTGCTGCTGCTGCTGCTGCTGCTGTTGCCTCCCATGCTGTTCTTATTGACTGCTCAGAGTTCTGGACCACCCACTAGCCTATATGATGCTTTAGTGAGTATTAGGAAAGGCATCTTTTTAGGGTGGTCAAAATAAAAGGCACCTTTTCCGGCTGATGTACTCCATGAGTGTACAGCTTGACAAATGGACCAACTTTTTGGTAAATCAAAATGTTCCCCTTTCTCTAGGTAGATGCATGCAGGTGCCAGGGCAAGGCTTGGTGAGCTACTTGCAGGCCTGGATTTGGGCTCCCATGTGCCCCCTCATCTGGGCACTTTGTGTATGGCACACAATGCACAACTCCCTATGGAGGCTCTGCTGGAACTCATCCATGGTGCACTTTCCTTCTGCCAATGCCACTTTCACTCTTAGTACCAATGGGCCCACATTAGGGTTGTGTAAGCCAGGCCCCTGTACCTTTGATGACTAAAGACATTTATTCCATCGGAATCATCTTTTTCACTCTTCTATAGAAAAAACATTTGATAGAAAAATATGGGATTCTGACTGTATGAACATCCCCTCTGGAATTAGAACCTTAATATGTGCTGTCTCCAGGTATTAATGGATGTCTAAATGGAAATATTCAGAATTGGGGAGGTGTAAGGGGTGGGGACCCAGAGTTCATCTGACGTGGACCATTTCCCTTACCTTTATTCTCCAGGAAGATACACTGTTAGCACACTTATCTGTCAAACAGCCTTGTCTAGTAAACATGGCACCTGGCAAATGCACACCAGTTTGGAGCTTACTGGTATTTCTGAATTGTGGTGCACTGTGTCGCCTTCTTCAAGCTCCCCTCAAACACAGGGAAGTTCCCATATGGATTTTCCAAATCGGACATATTTTTGGGGGGAGGAACATGGGGAGACTACATTTTCCAGGCTGTCTTGCAGTTAGGTATGGACAGGTGACTGAGTTCTGACTAGTAGAATGTGGATTTAGAGTAATGTATGACACTCCGAAGCCAAGATAAAGAAAGCTTATCTTTAAAGAGATATCCCTTCAAGATAAAGAAACCTAATTTTTATGAAGTAAATACATATTTCTGCATAAAGAAGGTGTTTGTTTATATTGGAAAGAAGTTTCTCTCGTTGTCTCAGAGAAGAAGAGGGGTAGATACCTGGCTCCTATTTAAGCTACCATTTTCATAATTAGGAGTTCCTCTCCTGTAGTACAAAATCCTTCCTTTTTATCTGTAGAGTCTGTTTTTCCTCATTGTATAAATTCCAAAAAGGGAAATGGATTAGTTCAGTCATTGCTATAAGCAATAATAAGTCTGATCTTTGATCCAGAAACTTCATGTTTACTTTCAGGAAAAAAGAAATAAATATAGATATTTAAAACCACTCCCTTCGATTCCTTTATATTCTCTCCCGGCTTCTGGCTGGATGCAGAATGCTTAGTAGAGGACTCTGAAGTCTTAGGGAAAAGCAGGGCCACTAGATAGAAGAAACCTGTCTCCCAACGTCTGTGAAGAGAAGATACTTCTTTTTTTTTTTTTTTTTTTTTTTTGAGATGGAGTCTCGCTCTGTTGCCCAGGCTGGAGTGCAGTGGCGCAATCTCGGCTTACTGCAAGCTCCACCTCCTAGGTCCACACCTGCCTCAGCCTCCCGAGTAGCTGGCACTACAGGTGCCCGCCACCATGCCAGGCTAATTTTTTTTGTACTTTTAGTAGAGACAGGGTTTCACCGTGTTAGTGAGGATGGTCTCGATCTCCTGACCTTGTGATCCGCCCACCTTGGCCTCCCAAAGTGCTGGGATTAGAGGCGTGAGCCACCACACCCAGCCCCAAAGAGAAGATACTTCTGTTGGTCCATGTTGGACTGCCATGTAAGCAAGAAGTTTTCCTTTAATATTTGAAGCCATTGGGATTTGTTTTGTTAAAACAGCTGACCTAACTTATTTCAAATACAACATGAATCTCAGTTCTCATAACTTGACATCAAAAGCACTGTGTTAGAAGAATTTATGTAAATCTTACAAATCAATGAATATAACACTTTTTATCGTTAGGGTTATTTCCAGATACTATATTAAAAAACTGAAATGATCTTTAAAATATATTATTCAAAATACTTAGCATAATGTCTGTAAATAGAAGACATGTTATATAATAATGATGCTCTTATCTTTTAGGACATTGATATAATAGGTCTATTCACATTTTATTTAAATTTAAATATGTAAATGTCCCTTTTTAAGGAGCAGTTTGGTGTATTATATTGTAATGACATTCAGCCTCACTGCAAAATGTAGCTAATTTAGATCATTTCAGAGAAAATGACAACTGTTCCCTTATTACAAAGAGCATAAACGAGATGATTTCTACTTTTTACTGACTAAAGTTAATCATTGATGTTAATAATACTTTATACTTACATAACACTTTGCTTCAGTGTATTTAATGCCTATTATCACAAATGCTCAAAACATCTCTGTGAGCCAGGCAGGAGACAGAATTTAGTGGACATGTGCGTGTGTGTGTGTGTGTGTGAGAGAGAGAGGGAGAGAGAGGAAGGAGAGAGGGAGAGGGAGAAAGGGAGAGGGGGAGAGGGAGGGAGGGAGAGAGAGAGAGAGAGAGAGATTGAGATTGAGTGTACATGCTTCCTTGGCTATCCTACAGATGTAAACAGATAAGAGGCAAGTCCCTTTAGAGCAGATGTTTCCCCACAAGCTCTGTAGAAACTGTGATGTAGGCATGGAAATGAAACAAAGGTATGAGGATATCAATTGTTCATACTGGCTTGGCTGAAGTGAGAGTCCAGGAGTAAGTGCAGGTGTCTGGGGGCAACAGAGTCTAGGATGTGGCCACAAGTGTCCCATGGACATGGCACCAGAGTCTGTATTCAAAGTATATTAGTCTTGTTGGGTGATCTTGGCTGTGCCTTGCTTCTCTTGGTTCCTACTGTTTTTCAGCACTTCTCAAGTATCTTCATTGATTCTTTGAGGTACCCAATATTCTAAAGCACGCTTTTTTTTTTTTTTTCCCTTAAGTTGTCCTGAGCTGGTTTTTATTTTTGGCAACCAAAACCTCAACTGCACAAAGTGTTCAAAATTATTATTTTTGGTTTAAAAATTTTGTTGAAATGAAAAACTGGTGCCAGAAGAGAAGGGGAAATCTCTAGAATGAAAAGCCTTCTCAGGAAATTTGAGTAGCTGCCTGAGACCTACTTGCCTTGGCGGGTATCGGCCCCAACAGCTGATGTTCTGCTTCCCTGCTGGGACTCCTGGTGTAAAGCTCTGTGAGTCATTAAAGCACAAGGTGTCTCATTCCTGGTCACCCTTTAAACCTCAGTTGACCTCTCACTTTTTCTGGGAAGTGTCCAAAGGCTTCTCTTCTTTCTATTCTACACAGTTTGTGCTCCCATAGCATGCCCTGCATACACTTCATTGTGCTCAGTACACTGCGCAGCTGTGGCCATATTCTCCACTAAACTGGAAACACCTTTGAGAGGGAGCTTGTGCAATGTATCACTATGTCCCCAGGCCTGATACAGGAATTAGAACATAATAGGGACTCAACAAATGTCTACTGAATGAATTTCTCCAAAAGGAATGCCCTTAATATATTCCCAGGAACGCATGACAAATTTTTGAACTTCTATTTGCTCACATTCCTAAACTGGAAAGCTATTTAATACATGCTGTGGCATTGTTTCCTGCTGTTTTTCTCAGCCTGGACTGGCACTAAGTTCTTTTACATGCATGGTCTCTCTGAATGTTAGTGACATCTAAGGACAGAAACTGAATTTGGGATTTTAGAGACATAAAGGAACTTGGGGATTATTTATCACCAACTCAAAATTGTTACCACAAGAAAACTGAATTTGGCAATTTTGATTCACAGGCTTGGGGGCCCATAGCTGGTTAGAAGTCACATCTGTGATGACAAATCTTGTCTCCTGATTTCCAGCCCACTGCACTTGCCCCTAAACTATTTTGCTCTTTCCCAGTAAAACTGTATGTATACTTCCCAGAATATTTGGCTTGTCCCCAGAAAGGGAAGGGTGGTGACTAATAACTTGTCCAAGGTCATACAGCCAGTGAGTGGGAGGTGGGATTTGAAACTAGGAACATCTGATTGCCACACCTGCGCTCATTCCTACTCAGTCATCTGCTCCTACACAGCATACAGTCATTATGCTAGACAGTCCATATTTCTTATGTTATTTAATTTTTAAATAGCACAATAGAAGTAGGTATTATTGTCTCTATATATTGTGCGAATAATGAATCTGTAGCTCTGCGGGGGATGTTGCTCAAGGATACAAGCTGAGATCCAAACTTGGCCCTTGTGACTCAAAAGCTATCATGCAATTAGATGATCACACAAACGGACTGCTTCCTAACACAGAGGAATATTGTAGAAGTGACTTGTTCTCCATCTGAGCTTTTCTACCCTCCACTTACCAAGCCCAGCACTTGCCTGATCCAGTCCTACTTTTTTCTTACAATATGCTCCTTTTTCTACCCTTTCTATCAGTTTCTTTTCCAAACTGGCTCAGAGCTCACCTCCTCCTGGAAACCTTCCCAGATTACCACTCAGGCTTTCACCATATTCCTCTGCCTTTGCTCAAACATTAGAAGGAGGATTTAGATGTCATAGGCTGTTTGCTCAAACCATCAGGCAACAGTCTTTGCAAAGCATCTCAGAAAAATAGTTATTATTACTTAAAATTATCTAGCTTAAGGGCATTTATTCTAAAAATCTCACAACTACTGGTATCAAATTTAAAAATTACAAATTAGAAGTAATTTGGGGATCACATTCTACCCTTTGTACAGATGAGGAAACTGAGATCTGGAGAGGTTAAGATGATGTATAGAGTTATACCCAAATTTAATAAGTGGTTGAATGGATTTAGGTTTGTTTTCTCCTATGGCAGTGGAAAATGCAGAGAAAAACCCAGTTGTGGTCAGTTCTGCAATATTTCTTCACAGGAATAGGGTTAGGTAAAATCTCCTTTTAACTTCTTCTTGTTTAGAACAAATAGGTTTTGCCTACCTCTTTTTCTCTTGTCTCTCCTCACCCCTACTCCTCTCTCTTCCCATTCTCAGTCATGCCTTATTCCCTAAAGAATTTTAAGCAGCTGCCATATAGTCACTGTTTCTCTAGGTTTCCCTTTGATAAGGTTTAGCTCTGTGTTTCCACCCAAATCTCACCTTGAATTTTAATAAACCCCACGTGTCAGGAGAGGGACCTGGTGGGAGGTAACTGAATTATGGGGGCGAGTTTTTCCAGTGCTGTTTTCATGATGGTGAATAAGTCTCACGAGACCTGATGGTTTGATAAAGGGGAGTTCCCCTGCACATGCTCTCTCTTGCCTGCTGCCATGTAAGATGTGACTTTGCTCCTCATTCCCTTTCAGCCATGATTGTGAAGCCTCCTCAACTATGTGAAACTGTGAGTCAGTTAAACCTCTTTCCTTTATAAATTACCCAGTTTTGGGTGTGCCTTTATTAGCAGCATGATAACAGACTAATACACCCTTATAAACACATTTTCTCAGAAGGTATCTTTTGACTCACTGGAATTTGGAACAAAAGCCTTAGCGGTAAAATTATAGCCACCTGCCCTGAGTGCTCTCTAGAATACAACTATCCCTCAGAAAGTCATGACCATAATAAGCGCCTGGCTAAAGGCTCATTTTCTTTTACATATTCCACTATTCATGTTGTTTCATATTCTCCTTTAAATTGACTCAGTTTCCTTTCTAGGGGGATTTATGGAGGTTTCAGGGAGGTCTACATTGAGCTTCCTATAATATTGTTCCAGGCATGGACACAAAAATTTCAAAAGCTCTTTGTAGTATCAACAACAAAAATCAGGCCAGGCGTGGTGGCTCACGCCTGTAATCCCAGCACTTTGGGAGGCTGAGGCAGGCAGATCATGAGGTCAGGAGATTGAGACCATCCTGGCTAACATGGTGAAACCCTGTCTCTACTAAAAATACAAAAAAATTAGCCAGGCGTGGTGGTGGGCGCCTGCAGTCCCAGCTACTTGGGAGGCTGAGGCAGGAGAATGACATGAACCCAGGAGGTGGAGCTTGCAGTGAGCCAAGATCACGCCACTGCACTCCAGCCTGGGTGACAGAGCAAGACTCTGTCTCAAAAAAAAAAAAAAAAAAATCAGTCACATGAACCACCCATTTATGGTTTTTAAAAATCACAACTGTGACTTCCTAATCCCTTTCCATCTTCTTAAAAATATGGAGGTGGCAGATTACCTATAAAAGTTTTTGGCTAGGTGTGGTGGCTTACGCCTGTAACCCAAGCACTTTGGGAGGCCGAGGAAGGTGGATTACCTGAGGTCAGGAGTTCGAGACCAGTCTGGCCAACATAGTGAAACCCCATCTCTACTAAAAATACAAAAAATTAGCTGGGCATGGTGGTGGGTGCCTGTAATATCAACTACTAGGGAGGCTGAGGCAGGAGAATCACTTGAACCTGGGAGGTGGAAGTTGCAGTAAGCCAAGATGTGCCATTGCACTCCAGCCTGGGCAACACAGCAAGACTGCATCTCAGAAAAAAAAAAAAAAAGATATTCCCACACAAATGGGGTGCTCAGGAAGTTCTCCCAATGTTAGGGCCTCAGGGTATCAACAATTAAAGATACAAATCATTTAGTCTACATATGAAGCTGATGTTACATGTTGACTTTAAAGATATAGAAAGTGAAGTTTGCTGAAGTAACTTGTCCAAGGTCACACAGCCAGTGAGTGGGAGGTGGGATTTGAAACTAGGAACATCTGATTGCCACACCTGTGCTCCTTCCTACTCAGTGACCTGCCTCTGTGGTTGAACACATGGAGCTTCTCACGTGTGGTGGATCATTGGATGGGAGCAGCACTGGATCACAGATGACACACCCATGCGAGGTAGCTATCTTTTTTCTTTTCTCCCCAAATTAAAATGACACCAGGAAAGTACCAGTATTAGACTTACACAATATAGACACTTTTCTGGGTTCTGGTAAAAGTAAGGAGCCCCCAAGTTAAAAGCTATTTAATTTAGGGCTCTTTAGTTTGGGGGTGGTCTATTTGTGTGGAGGATTCCTTTATCTGTCGTGACAAGGATGTCTTAGATTTCATATTGTTTTCTTATTGAAAGTTTGTAAGGTCCTGAAATAGGATAAAATGAGATGGCGCAGTGGAAGGCGAGGCATTGATTGTTCTAGGTAAGTGTTACTGAACTTTTATATCATTTTACTATTTTTGCCAGGATAAAATGGATTCCAGAAGATATTCTTTGTATTTCCTCCTATGACAGTTTCTTATAAAAGGAAAATAACATGCATATTTTATATGTTATTGATGTATACATGTATATATTATATATGCATTTATGTATATATGTATATATTATATATACACATTTATGTATATGTGCATATCTATGGAGAATGAAAACCAGAAATACAGAAAAAATTATATATAAAATCATATATACATAATTACATATAAATTATGTGTGTATATATACATATATATACATATATATACACACACACATATATATATGGAGAAAAACTATTCTCATTTTCCACTTTTTTACTCACTTTGAATCCCAAGAGGAATTGCCTCTGGATATAGTATTACTGGAAATAAGGCCACCTGATGACTCAGTCCTCCTGACAGAAAAATGGTTATTTCTGGCTGGGTGCGGTGGCTCACGTCTGTAATCCCAGCACTTTGGGAGGCTGAGGCGGGCAGATAACGAGGTCAGGAGATTGAGACCATCCTGGCTAACACGGTGAAACCCCATCTCCACTAAAAATACAAAAAATTAGACGGGTGTGGTGGCGGGTGCTTGTAGTCCCAGCTACTCGGGAGGCTGAGGCAGGAGAATGGTGTGAACCCGGGAGGCAGAGCTTGCAGTGAGCCGAGATCACGCCACTGCACTCTAGCCTGGGCGACAGAGTGAGACTCCATCTCAAAAAAAAAAAAAATGGCCCAAGCCATTTCTATTAAACATGCAAATGGTAAAGAGAAAAACGATTTGATAAAGCTTCTATAATAGCTCAAACAAGCAGTTTATGAGCAGAGCATTGACAAGTGACAAATGGCACAAGATCTCTACATGGGCAAATTAGCAGCAGAAGACATTTCTATGCACACTGGGCCAACATTAAGTAATTGGACAAACATGATTGCAAAAGATTTCATCTGTCTTAAAGAGAAATAGAGATTATTGTCAGAGTCCAGATAATTGCGTTTATATGGGTAGAGAGATCTCTTCATTAATTCCAAAACTGTGTAGCTAAAATTAAATTAAAAATAAAAATCTCATGAGGGTATTCTATATAGAATCATGGCTAAGAATATACAGAAAATGCAATAAAAAATAAATTACTAAAGCAAGTAAAGGTTTTCTTTCAATCTTACCCAATCCTTATATTAAATTATCTGAGCTTTAATCTAGGATTTAAAATTATTTGCAGCTAATGCTGTTCTTTTTCAGTATACTTCTAACTCATCTTGCCACAGACTCATGTATTATTCAGTGTGTACATGCTTCGAGACAAAGCATGCTCATTGTGAGGAATATCAATACCAATTAGGTTTCTCAGAAAATAAAACAAGGAAAAGTTTGTAAAGTTAAAAACAAAATTGCTTCTTTAAATTCTGTTGGTGAACTGCCAATGGTTTTTGAATCCTATATAAGATGACTTTATTTCTGTTTAAATACACAATAATTTAGCATTGATAGAAAGTGCTTGTGTTTTAAAAGTGTGCTTTTTTTTTCACCTTTGTAAGCTTCTGGACAAAGAGCAGAGGCAATTATAGTCTTATGAAAACACAGTCCAATAAATCTTGAGTCAAGGTAGTAGTATGTTCCTAGTCACCCCCTTCCAGAATGGCACCAGGAGTCTGCTAAATCATGCCTTATAGCTATCAGCCCCCCACCCTCCTTGATCCCCCCACATACGGAGCCAGGCAGGAGAAAACGCTCCTTAGTGGGAGGCTTGCCAGTAGCACAGGCGACAACCCCATTCTGGGCTTTGTCAGGGTCCCAGGAAGCCTTTTCTATATAAACCTCAATGATCAGAACAGGCAGATTTTCTTACCTGTCACTTTCCATTCTCTTGAAGATTTAATATTAAAGTTTCCTCTATAAAGAAGAATCAGTGACATGATAATCACAGTAGTAAGATAGCAATATAGCTGAAATATGGGGGAAAATGTTCTAGCAAAGTGTAACACAAAGCCAGTATGTCTCAATATTATGAGTCTGTATAATCCTGTAATTTAAGTTTTTGTTTTCTACTACCATGGAAATATCTTCGAGAGTGCAAATAAGAAACTAAAGATACAGAAATGACTATGACACAGTCCCTGCCATGAAGAAGATCAAGAAGCCTATCCACAGAGAGGGGCACAATTACCACTGATGTAAATGTCATAATCGGAGTGTTTAAAGTTCTTGTTTTGATTTAAAATTTAATACGTTGAATGCAGTAGATGAAAGAAGTAGGCCAGGCACAGTGGCTCATGCCTGTAATCCCAGCACTTTGGGAGGCCAAGGATCACGAGGTCAGGAGTTTGAGACCAGCCTGGCCAACATGGTGAAACCCCATCTCTACTAAAAATACAAAAATTATCCACGTGTGGTGGTGCAGACGTGTAATCCCAGCTACTCGGGAGGCTGAGGCAGAAGAATTGCTTGAACCTGGGAGGCGGAGGTTGCAGTGAGCCGAGATTGTGCCACTGCATTCCAGCCTGGGTGACAGAACAAGACTGTGTCTCAAAAAAAAAAAAAGGTAATTAACACTGTTGATATTTTCAACTTAGGAAGCTAGTTTGTCTTTCATTAAGGTCAAAGAGTTAGAAATTATCTCTGTCTTCATAAAAATAAATATATACTAAGTGAAGTGAAATAAGGAGAAAAAACTTACGGTCATTTAATGGTAGCATCAAAGAATATTCATGATGAAGAAAGGTAACAGTAACCCCTTAGATTCAGTCCTAGAGGCTGTTGGGTTTTGCTATGGTCTTCTTTCAGGGATGCACTGATTGCATCAGTAATACCCAGAACCTTATAAGTGATCAAAGGAAATAAAATATTTTGTTCCTGTTTGAATTGTGTTGCTTTCTTAGCCATAAAAATTTGAATGAGAACCCATGTGTACAAATGGGCTTTGGATTCCATACTCCTTCCTAATTTCATGCATTAATTGGTGCTATTTTCTTTTTTTTTTTTTTTCGAGATGGAGTCACTCTGTCGCCCAGGCTGGAGTGCAGTGGCACGATCTCAGCTCACTGCAAGCTCCGCCTCCCAGGTTCACACCATTCTCCTACCTCAGCCTCCCCAGTAGCTGGGACTACGGGCGCCTACCACCACGCCTGGCTAATTTTTTGTATTTTTAGTAGAGACGGGGTTTCACTGTGTTAGCCAGGATGGTCTCTATCTCCTGACCTCGTGATCCGCCTGCCTCGGCCTCTGAAAGTGCTGGGATTACAGGCATGAGCCACAGCGCCCAGCCAATTTGTGCTATTCTCTTTTTTGAAAAATCTTATTATTTTATTACTATTACATAAGGCCCTGAGTTTTCTCACATTCGGGGATATATCCTACTTCCAAAGGGGCTGCACATGTGTGCTATAACCTGTATTTTGGTGTATCTGCAGTTTTAAATGAATATGCAATTAAAGTGAAGGTTGACTTGCCATTTTATTATCTTTTTGAGGTAATCACATATAGATTACACAAAAGCAGAATGTTTAAGTTTCAGATTTTAAGTCACTTAGTTTATTATTTTTCATTTTGGGAAGTGAGTTTGAAGTTGTAATGCCATAATTAGATATATGGTTTAACATACAAACACAGGATTTTTAGGATGATACACATCACATAAAATGGGATTAACTGATATTCTCCTTATCAACCACTGACCAGCAAAAAGAAGAATACAATTAACAAAGGTCTGGAAATGAGTAGGAGAAAGGGCAAGGCATTGGTCAATTGTCTGCAAGACCACAAACCCACATGGCCACCCTAATCATTTCTCAAGGTCCACTCCACAGCCAGATATTTGTATCTCTTTAAATACCAAGTTAACAAGTAATTGCCTAATCATGGAAGTATAGAGTAGAGGTTGACTAAGAGTTGACAGGGAATATTCAGGCTTTTTAAGGCTTTGTCTTAAATTGTCAGAGGAGGAAGCAAATTGAGAAGAGGGAAAAGGTCAGATCAATCCTTTCCAAAGAAATTCCTTTTCTATGGGAAAAATGGACTGATCTGACCTTTTTCCCTCCTTCCTGGAACCAGAATTTAGGGATTATTGCTATTCCTTGAGTACTAACAGTTTCCTGGATGGGGTAAAAGATACTCTAGTCTGTCATGAATGGCCCTAACCATATAGTCCTAGATATCCTACATTTTTCCTAATAACAGTGGGAATAATTTTATTTTCTTAATTGTTAAAATCAAAGAGCTATAGATGCCTAAAGCTTTAATTTCAGAACAATGTTTTCATATGAATTTGAAAATTATTTGCTAATTTTCCAATTAGTAGTTGATCATTCACGATAATCAAAGAACACTAATAATGATGTAGGAACCAGTTTGAGCCCCAAAGTATTTTTAGTCTTCAAACATTCTTTGTTAGTTGGATGCTGCCAATTTTGATTTTATCTTTTTCCAACAGCTGCTATCTACAGATTTCACATCTGTTTCTCTAGTATGCCCATAAAAATGTTGCTACTTCCTCTGACTTAAATGAGATTTTAATGAACGTTTCAGGGACAAATCACATGCCTCATAAGACTGCTGCTTCTCCCAGGTAAGCTGACAGCACAACTTTTAATGAGCATAATCAGAAATGAGATGCCGATTCTACCTTCAGAAAGGCAGATCACCATGAGAAGACGATTATTATCCAGCCATTTTCCTAACGAACTGACAAGGAGGCCACGTGCACCAGGAGAGACCTTGAAGAGAGGCTGCTAATTGCCGCCCACCATTCACCCAAGGACGTATGACTAACAGACTCAAATGACAATCAACGAGACAGTTTGAGAGGAGGAAGATTCCAAAGACAGCTTGCCCACCAACTAAGACTGACGGGCGAATAAAGACATTCACTCTGAGCAGAAGCAAAACAAGCATATTCAGATTACTTAAAGGAATTTTTTTTGAAATGTAAAGTTTGGAGGTTTAAAATACTTTGCATCTTAGTTGAATATGGTAGCACTAGCATTTGCGTATGTCTGGAAATTGAAGCCTTGAATTAAAAAATTTTTCTTAAATTAGGATTCTATAAAATGAACACACAAACTGAGTGATACATCAAATAGTTCCAAGTTCACTTTATAAAATATTAAGATCCTTTTTTTGTTTTGAGATAGTCTCACTCTGTCACCCAGGCTGGAGTGCAGTGGCACAATCTCTGCTCATTGCAACCTCCGCCTCCCGGGTTCAAGTGATTCTTGTGCCTCAGCCTCCTGAGTAGCTGGGATTACAGGTGCGCACCACCACACCCAGCTAATTCTTGTATTTTTAGTAGAGATGGGGTTTCGCCATGTCGCCCAGTTGCCCAGGCAGGTCTCAAACTCCTGGCCTCAAGTGATCTGCCTGCCTTGGCCTCCCAAAGTGCTGGGATTACAGGCATGAGCCATTGTGCCTGGCCTAATATTAAGATTGTTTTATTGACTCTTCAGTACTTCCCTTTTCTACCCCCACCATGCATATGCACTTGCCTAAATTTGTTGTAATTATTCCTGTATTTCTAGCAGTTTCTAGAAGAGCCTTTCGAAACTTTAACTCACTGGGTGACCTTGATCAAGGTCATTTGCTTCCTTAACTATAATGGCGATAATTGGCAGAGACTACCTGGAGGTTGCATCTGTATTAATCATTCAGTGATCCCCAGTGAGGAAGGGTTTGGTGTGTTGGCTCCTGTTCCTCTGTCTGGGACCTTAAGACCATAGAAGAGGCAGGAGGAGCTAAAAAACAAACCGTGTTGAAAGAGAAAGACATCGGGCTGTTGCTCACCATTCTCTGCATTCAAATAATGGACAGCAAAGCGTCTGACCCTGCAGTGCCCCCTTTCACCATTACAACCAGAAGTGCAACCCGACTGGAATCAGGCTTATCTTACATTTCTACAAAAGCTGTGATCAAGGATTTTTAATATTGCACTTTAGACTTGGGATCCAGGACACAAAGAAGTAAAATACCTTTAAAGTGTTCCATTAGGATAGATTCAAATGTGATCTTGGCAAGCATGATTAAGAAGACGAAAAGATTTTCTCATCTTGATAAAACTTAACCCTTAAAATGTGGAAGCAAAAGCCATAATCAATTTCAGACAGGTCACAAATCTTATTAAGGGGATTTTAAAAAAATAACATAAGTTTATTATTTAAATTCACGAGCAATATATGTTCATCAAAAAAGTATTAGGAAACATGGAGAATAAAAATTAAAACAAATAGCAAGGTTGCTAAGAGCTGTTTTGGATTATAAAACACTTGGACTAGAAAAATCAGCACCAATGCCTTATTGCTGCATGCTCTTGGTCAAGTCACTTCGTATTTCTAAATATCACTTTCCTTACCTGTAAAGAGACTATAAAATCTAAATTACAGAACTGTTGTGAGAACTAAATTTAATAACATAGTTAATGTAATTATACAATTACTGAAAAATAGCCAGTGCTCCATAGAAGGTAATTGTTTCTGTTATTATATTTTATTATTAGTCACTGTAATCTCACTGATAACTTTGGCTCAACCATGTTTGGCAAGATCGTTATGAAGTTCTAGGATCTCCTGACCCCATGATCCGCCTGCCTTGGCCATTATAAGATTCTAGTATCTATAAAGCTTTTGTACCCATGGGTTATTTTCCATTATTCTAACCACTGAAATAACAAGTGAGATTGATTGTTTCCAGTCCCTTAGAAGACAGAATTAAATGCTGCACTATCTGGAAGGAGTAGGCACTACCTCAGGGAACAACCGACTGATCCTGCCAACTGGTACGTTGATATCATGGCTGCATACACAATCTATCTGACAGGATATAAGAATGTCTATTATATCACAATCCTGCTTGTTTTAAAACTGCTTTCATATACAACATCTCATTTGATCTAATAATACTCCTTTTTCCAAACTCTTCCAAAAGTTCTATACTATGTGCCAAAAAAACTTCTAGTCCTGCAGGATGGTCAAGCCTCTTGATGACCTAATTTTAACTTTCTCTTCCCTTCACACTCCCTAGGTTCCTGATGGATTTATCTTCTTTTGGGTTCTCCAAACGTTGTAGGCTTTCCCATATTCCTTAATTTGCTGATATTCTTTCCATTCCTTAGAATCCATTTTCTCAACCCTCCACCTTGCTGACAAAGCCAGCCCAGGCTCAACTCCAACGCTTCTCTTTTACAATGTTTTGCCTGCCTTCCATATTCAATTCACTAACCAATCTGATCTCTTTCAGGGTCTTTATTATGTCCCACTTCTTTTATAGTATTTTTTTCTTTATTTGTCTCAGTTCTTTTATAAACTATAGGGTCCTTGTGGGCAGGAACTCTCTCTGGGAATGTCTGCGTCTCTCGAAGAGTATTGCTTATAGAAGGAAAACTTTTTTTTTTTTTTTTTTTTGAGACGGAGTCTTGCTCTGTTGCCAGGCTGGAGTGCAGTGGCATGATCTTGGCTCACTGCAACATCCACCTCCTGGGTTCAAGTGATTCTCCTGCCTCAGCCTCCCGAGTAGCTGGGATTACAGGTGTGTGACACCACGCCTGGCTAATGTTTTGTATTTTAGTAGAGATGGGGTTTCACCATGTTGTCCAGGATGGTCTCAATCTCATGACCCCGTGATCTGCCTGCCTCAGCCTCCCAAAGTGCTGGGATTACAGGCGTGAGCCACCACGCCCGGCCGAAGGAAAACTCTTAAACATGCTTACCAAATTAATTTTTTTGATACTTGTGGCAAATTTGTTACTTGATCAGGAAGGCATTACTAACCTTCAGCAGATTAAGAAACTAAGGCTTGAAGCGGGTGAATGAAATGTGTCCTAAACTCCATTATCTGATAAGGCAGACCAAACATGATGTTTAGATTCCTAATCTAGAAGTCTTTCTACTCCACAACACCACCCCTATTATAGCTCTTTACTATAATAGAACAGGTGAAGGTACCAAATGAGTGTAAGTACTTTTCCCTAAGTTTTCTAGTACTTACTTGAGAACAAAGGACTAAGACATACAAAGCAGTGCTTGGGAAGGGGCTGGTCTCATCCTAGCCCAGCAAATCACAACTAAGAATTAAAACAGAATTGGACAAAATCAATGTCACTTCAGTATGTCTACATGCCACAGAGTTGTCCTTTATAGCAATTTTAAATAATATTTATTTAGGTCTTTATTTATTTTTGCCTTATCTCCTCAAACAGGAAGGCACTTGAGGGCAAGGGCTACATTTAATACGTATTTACATCCAAAAATTTGAAATAGGTAGACCTCATGTATCTTATGCATCTCCTTTGTGCAGTTATGTATATTTATAGGAAAGAACAATATTTAAAAAAAATAACTTCGGTGAAAGCAAATTTAGGGTAGCATACTGGGACAGGGGGTAAAAACCTGATTGGCTATAAGAAAATAGGAACAATGCATTGAAATAATTAGCAAAAAATACTAAACCTGCCTCACAAATGGAAGAATGCATTTTAATGTCCTAATGAATAGAAAATCTTGTTCACTCACTTATTTGGTATAAATGAGTTCTGTCTAGAGAAGAGGGAAAATAAAATAAAATATGATACCCCTGTCCTCTCCCCAGGATTCCTTACCACTTCCTCATTTCACAAATACCTTACCTGTGGAACTGCATATTCCCCTGTGCTTAGAAGAGCCTAGTGTTTGGTTTAATGCTGAATTCTTAATTTTTGAACAAAGGACTCACATTTTCATTTGGTACCGGGTCATGAAAACTATGTAGCCAGTTTCACTTATCACCCTTCAAGCCTATAGATGTCTTGCAATCAAGTTTCTTCCAGATCAACAGGGGTATGGGGAATGTCTTGCTCTCTCTCTCAGCCCAACTACAGGAAACACTTTTCTGAAGAAATTTTAAGAGAAAAGGGCCGTGAAATCATACAGAGGTCAACAGTCTCCCTAGAAGCTGATGTCTGGAAAGTCCAGAAAGAATTATATGACTACTGGAAACTGCAAATCCAGACTTCCTGTAACATTTTAAAAGCATTCATGAGAGTACAGTAAAAGATTAGCACTTAAGCATTGTGGGAATCTTCTCATGATATTGTCATTGACCAGAATCTTATTAGAGTGATGTGTCTGGCTTTAGCTCTTTATCTTGAAAACTGAGAAATCTTAAAAGAAAGGGACAGAAATTAAAAGAGTAGGAAATAGAGTCCATTGAAAATGTTAAAGACCTTGGATTAAATTGTCAAGATAAGTCTAAAGTTCATAGCTTCCATCAAGTGTATAAAGAACTAGCATTTGAGCAATTATTTTTCTAATATTGCAAAGGAGATTCTTCTTGAGTGGGATGGGCCTAATATTATGGGAACTTTGAGTGCACTGTATGGCAAGAAGAAAGTCTGTCTTAAACACAGGAGAGCCAAAGCCATTGGAAAGAAAGACCAATATGAATATATTAATTGAAAAGTTATGATGAACAGTATGCCATGATTGAGAAATAGATATAGGTCAAGATGTCCATTTAGAATGTACATTTAAAAATATTATTATTATTGGTTGTTGAGAAGAAAACCAATAGGATCAGTGAGGTTAATCAAGGGAGAAGTGAATGACTAACATGAGAAGAAGGAAGGCAAAGAGAAGCAAAGGGAATTAGTTACTAACATTCAGTTGATTACCTGAAAACACACTGAAATCTCCTGAGATAGGAATGGAATGTTAACAAAACTGAAAATTCTGAAAGCCTTTCTCTTTCTCCTATGTATGCCTCTCTGCTTCAAAACTACCCTTCATTTTCCTGTGTACCTTTCTCCAAAGACTCCCTCCACGTTCTGTCATGAAAGTTGGTGGGTGAGGCTGGTGGTAGCAGCAATTTGTGGTTTCATAGGCAAATCCAGGGTAACAAAGACACATCTTCTTTTGAGATACACCTCCAAGGACAACAGACAGACTTATCCTTTTTTGGTGTCTACTTGGGTAAACTGAAGAGACTTAGATAACCATCTTAGAAAGATATACTGTTTTCCTAGAAAATTTAAGTGTTTTCATTTGGAAGAGGGATGGAGATGAGAGAGGGAGGGAGGAAGGGGAAAAAAGGAGGGAAAGATGGAGGTAAGGAAAAAAGGAAAGAGAGAGAGAGTCAGAGAAGGGATGGGTCAGAGGGGAAAGAGGCAGAGGGAAGATGGGGAGAGAGGAAAAAAAAGGAACAGAAAAAAAGAGAGATTCCATAATACATTAGAAAGTTAATTTAATTCTACAAGTCAATTTATAACTAGATAAGCATTGTTTTTAAGAGGAAATGAACAGCCATTATCAATTTGTGTCTCTTTGATTTCCTTCTCCGAACTGTATTAACTCCTCTTCTCCTTCACAAAAAAGCAGTAATTTAGCATGCCAATAAACGTACATAACCAAAACATTATTTTGAACATTATGCTTATTAATTATCTGGTGATAAATAAGATACAAAGGGAATAGCCTATGAGAGGAATAAGAGATATGAAATGGATAATGATGAAATGAAAGCCTAAAACTGAAGGAATGCTTAAGATGGAAAAGGTAAGATGCAGAGTGAATCAAAAAATAAAAGACAGGAAATAGTATAATAATGTAATTATAAAAGGAAATAAAGATGATTAATTGGGATGAGGCACTACAGAATAAATATAAGATTTATTCTTATGCTTGTATTATATGCTTAGTGAAGATAGCTTTCTTTGCTGGATGTATAAATATAAAACAGAAGTTGTAAAAGCATAGGGAACCTCATGAATCTTGAAATCAGATCAATAATTTACTAAATTTGATTTGGTACAACAACTGAATAAGTCATACCAATTCTTGGCTCTGTGTTCCAAACAGAGTAAAAAATTGCTGGTAATGCAGTTCTCAACTCTCAACAGGCAGTTTCCATCTATTTGACATCATTTGAATCCAAGCTAAAAGTAGAAATGGCATAAGTAGTTGAAAGTCAAAGTACACAGCTTTATTCTCTGCTGCTATAATATAGTTTGGAAATGTATCCGTGAAGGCACTAAAGTCAAAAAATAAGCTCATATTGAAAACATAGATTTTTAAAAATACCACCGTCAACTGTTTATCTATATGAAGTGGTTTTCACAGGCTTTTCCCTTGAAAAATGTCACTGCACCTGTTAAACAAGTGTTCAAAGAGATTTGCTATGAATTATTCCATGAAATGTCCTATGTTTTAGACAGGTTCCTTTCTTTGGTGGGGGTTGGGGGGCTGTGGTATACAAACCTACCTTGACTGATTATATTAACCACAAACTATAACAACAAACAAAACAAATCTTTTGATGTTTGCAGATTCGGGATGGTTGCTCAGCTAACAAGTATTTCTCTAGTAGCCATGTCTAGGGAACTCCCTTCTTTCTGGGAATTGTATTCCCTTCCTCCCAGATTTAGACACATGTCCCAGATGGGAACTGTCCTTTCCTCATGACTGCATTTCCCCCGGGATGAGGTAGGAACCTTACTCTACCTAGTTCAATGAGCTTAATCCTAGGACTCTCCAATAATCACATCTCCACACACCATCCCTGATCTTCACTGACCTTCAGTGACTGTTTTAGATAAGAGTTTAAGAGACAAGTTAGCCAATTAAATGTCCTTCCCAGGTTTTTAACCCTTTGTTAGAGGAAGATAATCTCTCTTCTCCTGTCTAAATACTGTGACGTTGTGAACCTGGAGATGCTGGAAGCTGCATTTGTACTCTTGCAGCAATGTTATTCAGAGATAATGAAGCAAATGTGAAAGAGAAAGAATGCTCAAAAAGTTACATGTGGGATTACCATATGGTCCAGCAATTCTACTCTTAGGCATATACCCCAAACAGTGGAAAGCAGGGACTCAGACAGATTTGTACACCAATGTTCATAGCACCAATGTTCACAATAACCAAAAGGTAGAAACAATCCAAATATCCTTTAACAGAGGAATGTATAAAGAAAATGTGGGTCAACCAGGTCCCCTCCTCACAGCAACATGGCAGCTTCTCTTCCTCAGCACGGTGACTGGCTTCCCCTCAGGACCTGTTGCCACAGGCAGACTTCCTGCACACTGGCAGCCTGAGACCACCATGCAGTTTATGTTGCTTTTTATTAAAAGTTGTCAGGAAAAGCCTCAACTGCAGGAGAGAGAGAACTTGTTCACTTTAGCAGAGAAACCTAAAATGTGCAGATATGCTGTGCTACTGTGAATCAGGGCAATGAACTAACTGCCCTAGAAACAATTCATCATTACATGGAATTACTTAACAAGTATTTTGGCAGTGTGTGTGAACTTGATGTCGTCTTTAATTTTGAAGAGGTTTATTTTATTTTGGATGAGTTCTTTTTGGAGGGGAAGTTAGGAAACCTCCAAGAAAAGGCAATTGCACAGGCTGATCTACCTCAGGAGGAAGCTTAAACCCCACACAGAGTTCTCCAAGAAATTGGACTGACATAACTCTCCTCCTTGTTGATAACTTCTTTTGGCATTTCACACACTGTAGATGGCCCCTGTCTTCATGTCCATGTTAGCTAATGGTGTAAGATGATGTCTTGTCAGTATTACTGTTTTTCTAAGCCACTTCATTCAAGCCTATACAATTTTTTAAGAAGGAACTTTGGTTAATCAAGTGATAAGTTAAAGGACTTAAATATGAATGGGGCAGAAAAAGATGACTTTTCTGGATATTTTAAAGTTTATAGGTCAGTTTCTCTTAATCTGATTATATATGCATATGAAAATGACATCTGTATACATGCAAAATGAAACAATCTGGCAATATACATTTATTACTATATTTGACAAAGAAATTCTTAAATTATAATGTGAAACCTCATTTTATAAAACCAAAGACTAGTGAACATTTCAGTATACATAAGAGTAAAGGGAATTGACATGTTACATATTGAATGAATGGAAACTTAACCTTGTTGAAACTTCAGAAAGCAGATTTACGCCAAAGACTCCTATTGGAAACTACATATCTTAAAAAAGGGGTGGGGAGAATACAGATGATTTTAAATGACTAAATTGGAATGATGCTTTTTACACTAAAAATTATTTCTTAGGTATTCTGAACCTGGAATGAGAAACAGGATTGTTTCATAATAGCAAGCATGTAATTTTTAAGGTGAAGGCACATTTGACTCCTGAAATGAATTTTTGTGGACACAATCACTTAGTTGGATGGGTTTTGATGCCCCAAAATAAAGTGGAAATGTTAATTTGCCAGGGATTCTTCATAAAAGTATCTTACAGAAAACGTGTTGCTCTCTTCACAAAGTGTTGAGTGTAAAGTCATTGTATGAAGTATGAACGTTCCTTCTGCAGTGCTTGTGAAAACCAAATTTATTTTGCTTCCCTATTCCTTCCCTCCATGTAGAAGTGCTACAAACTTTACAGTGGCTTCTTTTCTTTCCATGGCACTGCCTAGTTAACAGAAGTCTTACAAAAATTTAAAAAGAGGCCAGGCACAGTGACTCACACCTGTAATCCCAGCACTTTGGGAGGCTGAGGCAGGCGGATCACCTGAGGTCAGGAATTCGAGACCAGCCTGGCCAACATGGTGAAACTCCATCTCTACTAAAAACACAAAAATTAGCCGGGCATGGTGGCAGGCGCCTGCAATCCCAGCACTCAGGAGGCTGATGCAGGAGAATCACTTGAACCTGGGAGTCGGAGGTTGCAGTGAGTCAAGATTGCGCCACTGCACTCCAGCCTGGGGCACAAGAGCAAGACTTCATCTGAAAAAAAAAAAAATTTAAAAAGAAACTTTTTTTTTTCTTTTGGAGATGGAGTTTTGTTCTTGTTGCCCAGGCTGGAGTGCAGTGGTGCAATCTTGGCTCACTGCAACCTCCTCATCCCAGGTTCAAGCAATTCTCCTGCCTCAATCCCAAGTAGCTGGGATTGCTGGGATTACTGGGATTACAGGAGCCCACCACCATGCCCGGCTAATTTTTTTGTATGTTTAGTAGAGACAGGGTTTCAGCATGTTGGCCAGGCTGGTCTCGAACTCCTGACCTCACCTTTCATATAAAAAAGTGAGAGCTGAATGAAGTAAAAGGACATTAATTGGCCCTAAATGTTTTAAAGCTATATAATTGTCCAACATCACTTTTCTAATTACTTGTAAGTATGTAAACATGTCTTCATGGTTTATACTTTCACTTGTATATGCTGGGATGGATTAAGCTTTGTTGTGACTATGACCAATATTCAGGCCATGTGAGCACTGTCTTATTGCATCGCCAATTAGTTGTAATAAACGTTGAATGTACACACAGAAAAAAAATAAAATGTGGAACATACCTACAATGGAATAGCATTCAGCCATAAAAAGGAAAACTTTGATACATACTGTTGCAGGAATCGGAGGACCAGAGAGACCACAGGGTGAAATAGGAGGATTTATTGAATTCACTCAGACCCAGTGGATTAACATCCAAAGACCTGGCCCAGAACAAAGACAGCACTTGACTTTTATACACACTTCTAAAAGGGGGTGGGCTAGCTTGAAATAAGCTTAAAGTGGCACAAAAGCAAGGATACAGAAGCAGAACAAAAGCAGTTAATCATACTATGACAGGTTCATAACTCAGGCTTACATATAACTCTTGCTATGCGGCCCAGATAGCTGTTATCTAGGCTTGCTCTTGTGCCTTGCATGGGCTTATCTCATAACCTTCACTACGGTGCCTAGGTGGCTGCAATCCAGGCCTGCTCAGGTGTCTCATGATCTTCACTGTGCTTAGATGAAAAACAGTTGTTTCATTTTTTGCTTACTATAAATAATGATGTAATGAATATTCATGTATTGACACACAATTTACCCATGTAACACACCTGCACAGGTACCCCATGAACATAAAAGTTGGTAGGAAAAATAAATAAATAAATAAATCTGGGAGAGAAACACACACATGTACAAAATAAAATAAAATGATTCCTTTTTTGTCAAATTTAATGTTTTCTATATTTTTCAAATTTTGTAAAATGGCATGTAATTACTTTTTAGTTTGACCAAGAGCCAGAGCATTTTACTTTATAAAGGTATTTTAGAAATGGAGTTAGTTTAAAGCATTATGCTAAGAGAAAGAAGCCAAACACAAAGGCAATGTATTTTCTGATTCTGTTTGTATGAAGCATCAAGAATAGACAGATCTGTGGAGACAGAAGGTAGATTGGTGGTTTCCAGGGGCTGGATAGGAGGGAGTGAATGTGGAGTGACTGCTATGGTATGTGGATTATATCTCAATTTTAAAAACTTGAGTCAAAATTTTTAAAAGTAACTGAGGTAGTTTAGTCATTATTAATATTATCCTTCACTGCTACTAATTTAAAATTTCTTTTTTAAAATAGCTTTATTGAGATAGAATGCACAAAATCTAAAATTCAACCCTCAAAAGAAGATGATTTGAGAGTTTTTAGTGTATTCACAGAGTTGTAGGTCACCACTGTCTATTCCAGAACATTTTCATTGCCACTTCTTCCCCCACAAAAAGCCCATATTTATTATTGGTTATTAATTATCCTCCCTTCACCCAGCCATTGAACCCTAAATGACTGCTAATCTACTTTCTATATTTATGGATTTGCCTGTTCTGGGAATGTCATATAAATGAAGTAATACAATACAAAGATTATTGTGACTGAATTCTTTCACTTAGAATAAGGCTTTCAACATTCATCTATGTAGTAGCATGATTCAGTACTTTCTTTTCATTGTCAAATAACATATTGTGTATAAGTATACCACATTTTTTATTTAGCTACATATCAACTGATGGACATTTAGTTGTTTCCTTTTTTGATTACTATAAATAATGCTGTAATGAATATTCATGGATTGGTTTTTATGTTTTTAATTTTTGGGGGATATGTACCCAAGTGTGGAATTGGGGGATATGTACCCAAGTGTGGAATAAACATATGGTAACTCTATGTTTAAGATTTTGAACCAGCCCGGACAACACAGTGAGACCCCATCTCTGAAAAAACCTAAAAAATCAGCCAAGCATGCTGGCACGTGCCTCTGGTCTCAGCTACCCAGGAGACTGAAGCAGGAGGATCGGTTGAGCCCAGGAGTTCAAGGCTGCAGTGAGCTATGATTGCACCACTGCACTCCAACCTGGGTGACAGGGTGAGACCATGTATCAAAAAAAAAAAAAAAGAAAAAAAGATTTTGAAGAACTGACAAATTGTTTTCGAAAACAACTACACTATTTACATCCCCAACATCAGTAAATAAAGGTTCTAATTTCTACACATCATAAAAAAGTGGTTGCTTAACAACACAAATGTCCATGGACAGATTAATAGATAAAATGTGGACTATACATACAACGTAATATTATTTGGCCTTAAAGAGACAGAAGCTCTGATACATGCTACAACATGAAGAACCATGAAAACATGATATTAAGTGAAAGAAGTCAGACACTAAAGTAAAAATATTTTATAAGTCCACTTATATAAGGCACCTAGAAAAGGCAAACTTATAGAAATAGAAAGTAGAGTACAGGTTACCAGGGGCTGAGGGGAGTGGGGAAAGGGGAGTTATTGTTTAATAGAAACAGAGTTTCTATTTGGGATGATAAAGTTTTGGAGATGGATGGTGGTGAGGTTATACAACAACATAAATGTATTTAATGCCACTGAACTATACTTAAAAATGGTAAAAAGGTAAATTTTATGTTGGGTATATTATACAATAAAAAAGTTGCCACTCTAATAACAAACCAAATTTTGACTTTAAAATGTGCAAACTTTAGACTTGGCATTTCTATTCTTAAGAATTTAGCTTAAGGAAATAATCAAGGATGCTAAAGAAAACAAGGGTGTTCCCTCAAGTGACAGGATGTGACATTGAATGTCCAGTGACTGAGGATTCATTACATACATTATGGTTTATATATTTGATCAACTATTATACAGCCATTAAAATTGTAATTTCAAGTGACATAGTAAGATATTCAAGATAGTTAAGGGAAAATGTAGGGAAGAAAAAGAATACATGTAATGAGTTGTCCCTAAATTTATCCCTTCTATTTCTTATAAGAGATTTTTTAAAAAGTATTTCAAGTACATATATGTACATGTCATTGAAATACAGGTTCAGTTGCTCACTGCTTGCAGAGTCCAATTAACAAGAACAAGGTCTAGTCTAAAGTGACTTTTTATTCCAAAGCTAGCTTAGGGGAAGAAGTACAGGCTTCCTACATTAAGGAGACCACTTTGCTTTTGGAGCAGAAAGTGGGGGCAGTGGTGCTTTTAAAACAGGGGTGGAAGTGAGCAGGTCAGGGGTCTGTACAGTTGCTTCAGTGCCCTATCTACTGGGCAGTTTAGGTGGCATCTTCATGGACAGAAATAGGTTATAAAGGTGGCCAACAACTCTAGTGGGCATACTTTGGGTTGAAAAACAACTGTTACCTGTCAGGGCAACCTCCTGGTGGTTAATGTTCCACTCTGGAGTTTCTTTTCTTTTTTTTTTTTTTTTGAGTCAGAGTCTCGCTCTGTCGCGCAGGCTGGAATGCAGTGGTGTGATCTCGGCTCACTGCAAGCTCCGCCTCCCAGGTTCACGCCATTCTCCTGCCTCAGCCTCCCAAGTAGCTGGGACTACAGGTGCCTACCACCACACCTGGCTAATTTTTTGTATTTTTAGTAGGGACAGGGTTTCGCTGTGTTAGCCGGGATGGTCTCGATCTGCTGACCTCGTAATCCGCCTGCCTTGGCCTCCCAAAGTGCTGGGATTACAAGCGTGAGCCACCGTGAACCTGGGAGGCGGAGCATGCAGTGAGCCGAGATCGCGCCACTGCACTCCAGCCTGGGCGACAGTGAGACCTCAGTCTCAAAAAAAAAAAAAAAAAAAAAAAAAAAGAGAGAAAGAAAGAAAATTGGGGGTACTCTTAAACACATACATAAAAAGTTTAGACAATACATCAAGGCATAATCCATGATCACTTCTGGAATGAGATTGATGGCTATATTTACCTGAGTTTTTTTTATTTTCCACTAAATTTTCTACTATAATTATGTAGTACTTCAGGAAAGAAGTAAAAATAAGTATTTTTAAGCAACTTCTTCTCCATTGTACCTAGTCTCCCATTTTCAAGCCCAAGTGAGATTATCATCACTGGTCACACCCAGATGATGGACGGACAGATGCCTCCCTTGGAGAAGACCAAGACTCCAGCTCTAGGCTTTATTTAGTGAGCTTCTTCCTTCACCTCCTTCAGGTCCCCACTCCAATTTTTTTCTGTTGGATTCCTTCATGTTGTGTCTTTGCTTCCTTTACCAAACTGTGAGTTCCTCTTGGGGTAAGGATTAAACTTTAGGAATCTTCCCATTCTTTCTAGGTGCCCAGTGCTGGACTTGGTCCATAGGCAATTAACAAGTGGGTGTCATATCAATAAAATATAGCATATTTGCCTTCCCTCAATAGGTCTGGGCTACAGGGAGCAAGATTTTGTGTGTATATGTTTTCTCCTAAAACACTTCTTGCCTCTTGGCCTCTGTATACTAGCTGCATTGGAAAGAATACCAAAGGTAAAAAAGAAGGAGTATCTGAATGTCAAATTAACAAAGTTTTGGTTTTATAAACAAATAAGCAGTGAGCTGGGGAAGAGAAGGATGTGAATACAGATTGTGTATTCGGGACAATGTTGTGCACATGTCATTGTTTGATGCCTGCTCAAATATTCTTGCTCTTATAATTTAGATTATCAGTGCTTCTCGTTAGGTGAGTTTAATGGATACATCAATGTGTAAAGGATACAAAGTTCTCCTGCATTGTTGTATGTTAAAAAAAATTCAAGCAGGCCGGGCGCGGTGGCTCACGCCTGTAATCCCAGCACTTTGGGAGGCCGAGGTGGGTGGATCATGAGGTCAGGAGATCGAGACCATCCTGGCTAACAAGGTGAAACCCCGTCTCTACTAAAAATACAAAACATTAGCCGGGCGCGGTGGCGGGCGCCTGTAATCCCAGCTACTCGGGAGGCTGAGGCAGGAGAATGGCGTGAACCCGGGAAGCGGAGCTTGCAGTGAGCCGAGATTGCGCCACTGCAGTCCGCAGTCCGGCCTGGGCGACAGAGCGAGACTCCGTCTCAAAAAAAAAAAAAAAAAAAAAAAAAAATTCAAGCAACAATACATCGTTAAATAAACTGGATAACATTTACTGACCCAAATGCACCAGGCACTCTCCTAAGCATTTTAGAGGTATGATCACATTTAATACAACAATAACCCTAAGAGGCAGGTACTATTATTGTCTTTGTTTTATAGATGATGAAACAGACACACAAGAGCTGAGGTTCTCAGATCATGAATAGCTAGAAAATAAGACAGCCAGATCTTAAACCCACACAATCTGTCTTTAGAGGCCATTATGGGAATATTCAAGTGGTAGACATTGTAAAGTCAGTAAAGATCCATACCAGCCTGAGAACTGAGATGATATGGCAGAATGACTTTAATATCTTTGCTTTATACACTTCCATAATTTTTAACAATGAGAATGTAATACTTTTAAAATAAAACTCTTATTAAGTATAAATAGAAGAATTTTGAGGTTTGTATTATGCAAATTACTAAGTAGTTTAACTGTTAACTTGGAATGAACCTACAATTAAGATTTGCTACCGTAAATTTATCAATCAATCATGATATATCCTTTGCACACAGTATGAATGCACTACAGAGTTTAATTTGGAAAACCGTGAGTAATTTCAGAGATGATTGCAGGTTGCTACATGTTATAAGCTGTCATTTGCCATTGTTAAAGGGGTAGATTTCTGATTCAACATTTTGAGAGTTCTAGAGTAAAAAGTAGTTTTAAAGTGCTTATTAAAATATTGAAGTTGGATATGACTGGACTGAGAGTATAATTCTATATTCCTTTATAAGAATATTTAAGGCATTCCTAAAGACCCCTTAAAGCTCTTATATCCAGTTCTCTGGTATATAACATTTTCTTGGATTTTTAGCTCAGCAGATTCTGTCTGGTAGAAAGAGTTGAGTAGTGAAACAAATACCAAACTGGTACGAAAGAGACCTGGTTTTGACTCTGAATCCAGATCTATTTTTCAAGTCAATTCATTTTTCTGTACTTAAGATTCTTCATCTATAAAATGGCAGGTGGCGGTGTGGTTACTGGATGTTCTTTCCAAGATATCTTCTGGCTCAAACTTGTACAATTCTATAAGCCATGTACAGAGATAAGCTGGGTAAAAAGCACGAGACAAAAAGACTATGCAATTACCTTTTTATCAATCAGGACTTTCAATTGCTAACAATGGAATTCACACTGGCTAGCTTAAGCCAATTGGGATTTATGAAAGGATATTAGATACCTCAAAGACTCTCCAAGAGATCTTGAAAAGCAGGTGTGGATGCTACTTGGCAAGGAGCAACATAGCCAGATAGAACATCCAACTCTTTATGCTGCAGATAGTTACAGCAAAAACACCATTCCTACTGCTGTCTGTCGCTACGTGCTGATCATGCTCAGCAGAAGACCTTAAGCCCCATCACTTCAAACTTTCACACTTGACAAGTGATAGATCTCTCTGGGCTCAGTCACCTCCTCATGGGCCGCTCTTCTGCATCCAGACCTCATGCAGGTATATTTCATTACTAGAATCTAAGTTTCATACTCACACCTCTACCTACAAGAGATCCTGGGGGAAAGTTTTTGTTTTTAATTTTCCTTTGGGAAGGCAGACTCATAATGTGGGAATGCATCAAAATGCAGAGAAGATATTCAAAAGATATTGGGCAGGACAAATATCCAGAAATGTTATTCCTGGATAACAAAACTTACATATCCCATAGCAAAATATGTTTTTTGTACTTGTTTTTGAAGCTTCTTTTCTTTAAAACCTTACTATCTCACATTGATCAGAGCTCAGCTGTAGAAAATAGAAACCGTTCTGGCTAATTTAAGCAGACCGAGATTTAATTCAGAGATTTAGTGCTTACATAGTCATTGGGCGGGTTGGAGGGGCCAGCTCGCAGCTGAGCTTTCAGGAATAACACCACCACCCCAGAGGACTGCTGCCTCTGTCACTACTAAAGGAAGCTGAGGAATCTGCTAGAACTGCTGGCAACAAGTGCTTCTGTGATCCGTGCTAACAAACTGGCCTCATTTACTGCCCTCTTGAAAGACAATAAACTAGGGTCTGGATGCTGAAATTGTTATGACAGCTGCTGGGGAACAATCACATGCCTTCATGATGGTGATTGGCAGCAGAAGGAGAAGCAGCAGCAGCAGTTCGACTTCTGTCTTCTGCCATCCAAATCTTATTCAGATGCATCTGCTGGGTAGAATCTAAATCACCTGAAGAACCAGAACTGGCAAACAGTCTGGGAAGGTTTCCTTGAACATTTTCATTTGACGTATTTGATAAAACAAATGACAAAGAGTAGGGGAGCAGAGTGAGCCAATCTGCAATATCTGCCACATTGTGTTGAGCTCTTAGACGGTTGTTGACATTCATTCTTATCCATGAGGTAATGTCCTTCTAAAAAATCTCACAGGAGGTTAGTGTACTGCATTGACACTCAGGATTTCAAAACATGAAGGAAGTTGCTTATGCTTACACAGCTAGGAAATGGAAGAACTAGAATTTGAATCTAAATTTTCTGTCTCCAGCTATAGCAGTCTTTCAACTCCTCACTATCTAGGTTGGGGCACAACCTGGATAAGGCGACACACATACACACGCACGTGCGTGCACACACACACCCATTTATTTGCATGTGGCATATTTTTCTTTTCCTTAGCTTAGTCTTGGGCCCCAGCTTAGATCATGACACAGGAAACACAACTTTTATTGTGTGTTCATTAGTCATTTAATTTGCAGATGCTAACATTGGCAATGTTCCTGCTGTAATGGAACATAATGGAACCATAATTGCATAGCAAAATCACAATGAATCTACTCCCATTTCTGGTCAGAAATATGACTGACAGCCTTGCTTCTGAAATAGTGAGAGCTTCAGATTGGGGCAGCCCAAGATTAAAGCCCATTTTTCCTGGGACTAAAGCTTAATAGTAGATATAATTCAAATACTGTTTCTTATTAAAAATTTAAGTATAATATTTCCTTTTTTTTTTTTTTGAGACGGAGTCTCGCTCTGCTGCTAGGCTGGAGCGCAGTGGTGTGATCTTGGCTCACTGCAACCTCCACCTCCTGATTTCAAGAGATTCTCCTGCCTTCACTTCTTATGAAAGTCATGAATCATGGCCAAGAGACCTGCACCCCATCCTCTCTGAACCTTAGTTTCCTTGCCAGAAAACTGAGTATGACACCATCTGCCCTAAAGAACTTCATAAATTCTTACAGAGATCAGTTACATAATGTGTCCAGAAGTAACCCATCAACAGGAAAATAATAAATGGATATGAGGTGGAATTCCATCCAAGAAAAAATAAGTTCAGTCTTGACTAGCACATACCCAAATAAGTGTAACAACAACAAAATTACAAAAGGATTAAATAATATGTTCACACATTAAATAAAAATAATGGTTGACCATAGGGAAGAAATTTTAGGAATTAAAATTACTACAACTTAATAAGCATCTATAATTTGTAAGTTATATTACATACTTGTGAAAGATAGGAAAAAAGCAAAGTGTTTTTTCTACCCTCTACTCATACAACTCAGTCAACACAATGCTTCTGACACCATATTTCCCAGTGGACACCAGTTGGGTGTCCTCTAATTGAACTGAATTCTTTTCTAATTTGAGACGGAGTCTTGCTCTGTCGCCCAGGCTGGAGTACAGTGGTGCAATCTCGGCTCACTGCAAGCTCTGCCTCCCAGGTTCACGCCATTCTCCGGCCTCCTGAGTAGCTGGGACTACAGGCGGCCGCCACCACGCCCGGGTAATTTTTTGTATTTTTAGTAGAGATGGGGTTTCACTGTGTTAGCCAGGATGGTCTCAATCTCCTGACATCGTGATCTGCCCACCTTGGCCTCTCAAAGTGCTGAGATTACAGGCTTGAGCCACTGTGCCTGGTCTGAATTCTTACACTATCTACATAGAGATAGTGTCAGATTCCACAGGTTAAGGACTCAGTCTCACAATACTGTTCCCTACTTCAGATGCCAATCACAAGTCCCGGGTTGTGACCTGTGCTTCTGACTGTCTATAAACTGGGGGTTCCTATCACCCCCTCCTTGGGTTTAATTTGCTAGAGTGACTCACAGAACTCAGGGAAACAATTTACTTATGTTTACCCATTTATTATAAATTTGATGAACAGCCACATGGAAAAGATGCATAGGGCAAGGTATGGAAAAAAGGGCGAGGAAATTCCATGCCCTCTCTGAGCATACCACCCTCCAGAAACTCCCATGTGTTCAGCTATCAGGAAGCAATCTGTACCCAGTCCTTTTTTTTTAATGGAGGTTTTAGTACTTAAGCATGACTAAATCATTGGCCATTGGTATCAACTTAACCTTCAGCCTCTCTTCTCTCCTCAGAGATAGGGTAGGGGTAGAACTAAAACTTTTAACTCTCTCATCACATGGTTCATTTCCTTGGACACCAGCCCCCAACCTGAGGCTATCTAGGAGACCAACAGGAGTCATCTCATAAAAACAAAAGATACTTCTACCACTCAGGAAATTACAAAGGTCTTAGGAGCTCTGTGTCAGGAAGTGAGGTCAAAATCCAAGTAATAGGACAAAAGATTCTCCTAGTGCCTTTATTTACAAGAGTTTTTGGAGCTCTATGCCAAGAACTAAGGAGGAGAGACCAAATATATTCCATATTATATTGTAGGGGAGTGAGAGATCAGCTCCAACCTCCTTTACTTCTTAAGATGGCTCTTTGGCTGAATCTAGAAACTAAATTGACACCAGGCAGATTAACAAAAGAAAAGCAAGCAAGTTTTATTAGTGTTTACATGTACATGGGAATCTTCACAAGAAAGTGTAATCAGAAGAAGTGGCCAAAGCAAGATGTTTTTATACTTTCTAAACAAGGAATGATACATTTGAGAAGGGATGACAGGACCAAGGGGATCTGGCTAGAAGACAGGGAGTCACTAGGAGACAAATGGGAGAAGGTGGAAAACTAGTGAAAGATAAAGGTTATTTCTGTATTGTGGCACTATTCACAATAGCAAAGACTTGGAACCAATCCAAATGTCCATCAGTGATAGACTGGATTAAGAAAATGCGGCACATATACACTATGGAATACTATGCAGCCATAAAAAAGGATGAGTTCATGTCCTTTGCAAGGACATGGATGAAGCTGGAAACCATCATTCTCAGCACACTATCACAAGGACAGAAAACCGAACACCACATGTTCTCACTCCTAGGTGGGAATTAAACAATGAGAACACATGGACACAGGGCGGGGAACATCACACACTGGGGCCTGTTGGGGGGTAGGGGTCTGGGGGAGGGATAGCATTAGGAGAAATACCTAATGTAAATGGCGAGTTGATGGGTGCAGCAAGCCAACATGACACATGTATACCTATGTAACAAACCTGCACATTGTGCACATGTAGCCTAGAACTTAAAGTATAATAATAATGATAATAAAAAGATAAGGCCAGGCGCAGTGGCTCACACCTGTAATTCCAGCACTTTGGGAGGCTGAGGCAGGCAGATCACAAGGTCAGGAGATTGAGACCATCCTGGCTAACATGGTGAAACCCCATCTCTACTAAAAATACAAAAAAATTAGCCAGGCGTGGTGGCGGGTGCCTGTAGTCCCAGCTACTTGGGAGGCTAAGGCTGGAGAATGGCATGAACCTGGGAGGCGGAGCTTGCAGTGAGCCTAGATCTCGCCACTGCACTCCAGCCTGGGCGACAGAACGAGACTCCATCTCAAAAAAAAAAAAAAAAAAAAAGATAAAGGGTATTTCATTCAGGTCCATTGCAGCCCCCAATTTTCAGTCTCTAGTGACAAGGGCTATTTTATCACCCTGTTATGGGGAGGGTAGCCTTCCCAAAGGAATCTTCATGTCTTGCTGCATGCAGGAAGGAACAAGTCAGCTAGCCCTTTCTGAACTACAATTTCTCCAATGTTTTCAACTTGAAATAATCAACATGCCAATCCAGCAATTTTGGGATGGCACTGTTACCCCATCTGGCATCTATAAGGCTGTAGGCCTTGACTGGACAGTTGGACAACTCTAACTCTGTTTATCTTTAGCAACAAGATGCCTGAGATCAGAGGTTCCCCTTTTGTTCACACCAGCTAAAACCAGTGGGATCCAAGATAACAGCCCACCTGACCTCTGAACGACCTCCAACTTCATTATAATCTAATTTCCATGCTAAATATCACTCTCACCACTGCCATGACAGCTGACAATCACCATGACACCATGACAGTGACTGGAAGAAGCCATGAAAAGATGAAAAGAATGTGGCACTTCAGTTCTGAGAAGTTCACTGCCCATTCCCAGAAAAGACATGAATATTCCTGCCCTTGTTTTTTTTTTCTTTTTTTTTCTTTTTTTTTTTTTTGGGGGGACATAGTCTTGCTCTGTCGCCCAGGCTGGAGTGCAGTGATGCGATCTCGGCTCACTGCAAGCCCTGCCCCCTGGGTTCATGCCATTCTCTTGCCTCAGCCTCCCGAGCAGCTGGGACCACAGGCGCCCGCCACCACACCCAGCTAATTTTTCATATTTTTAGTAGAGACGGGGTTTCACTGTGCTAGCCAGGATGGTCTCAATCTCCTGACCTTGTGATCCGCCCACCTTGGCCTCGCAAAGTGCTGGGATTACAGGCGTAAGCCACTACGCCTGGCCTGCTCTTGCTTTTAATGTCCAATCCCTTGATCAGAGAAATCTTGTATTTTAACCCCATCAACTCTCACAAGTCAAGAAGTTGATTTGTGATCCCTGCTCCTACTTCTCCATTCCTTCTCCAATGAATAAAACTTGCCCCGCTTGATGCTCATTCTCAGTTTCCCATATTGGCTCTGTGACAGTGAACAGGGAAAGATCCCATTGTTTGGGGCAACTGAGTTTCAGTAATAGCATGTCCCTCATTTCTTCATTATTACAATATCACAATGCCTAATCTTGAAATGTTTAATAGAAATAACATTTGTAAGCCACGCATTGCCTTTGAGTCTTTCATGTTTTTTTTGTTTGTTGTTTTATTTATTTTTATTTTTTGAGATGGAGTCTCACTGTCGCCCAGGCTGGAGTGCAGTGGCGCGATCTTGGCTCACTGCAACCTCCACCTCCCAGGTTCAAATGATTTTCCTGCCTCAGCCTCCCAAGTAGCTGGGACTACATGCGCACGCCATCACAACTGGCTACTTTTTTGTATTTTGAGTAGAGATGCGGTTTCACCATGTTAGCCAGGCTGGTCGTGAACACATGATAATCCACCCGCCTCGGCCTCCCAAAATGCTGGAATTACAGGTGTGAGCCACCGTGCCCGGCTGTCTTTCATTGTTTTAATACCAAGTCATATTTATGTAGTACTTTATAATTTTCCCAGTGTTTTCTTTGACATTACTTAATCTTCAAAATCACCAAGTGAGGCAAGTAGTCCTTTCACTTCTCCAACATTCCTACTAATTTTGGTGGCTGTGGCTTCCCTGTTGCCCTGGGGGTAGCAGAGAAACTCCATTGTGGAATCTCATAAAATATTTTTTCATCTCATGACACCTACAGGCATTATTTGAGCACAATAAGATGGCTGAAGCTGTGGGTGAATAAGCAAATTTTTTTTCTGAAGTTCATCAAGATAGACATCTTTCCCTCTCTTCAGTATCTTCTTCCAGTTTCTCCCCTGTTACTTATACCCCATTCTTTTTTTTTTTTCTTTTTGAGATGGAGTCTCACTCTGTCACTAGGCTGGAGTGCAGTGGCCCGATCTCAGCTCACTGTAACCTCTGACTCCCGGGTTCAAGTGATTCTCCTGCTTCAGCCCCCCAAGTAGCTGGGACTACAGGCACACATCACCATGCCCAGCTAATTTTTTTTTTTTTTTTTTTTACAAGGAGTCTCATTCTGTCGCCAGGCTGGAGTGCAGTGACGCAATCTTGGCTCACTGCAACCTCCACCTCCCGGGTTCAAGCGATTCTCCTGCCTCAGCCTCCTGAGTAGCTGGGACTACAGGCGCACGCCACCACGCCTGGCTAATTTTTGTACTTTTAGTAGAGACGGGGTTTCACCATGTTGGCCAGAATGGTCTCGATCTCTTGACCTTGTGATATGCCCACCTCGGCCTCCCAAAGTGCTGGGATTACAGGGGTGAGCCACCGTGCCTGGCCTTTGTATTTTTAGTAGAGATGGGCTTTCACCATGTTGGCCAGGATAGTCTGCATCTCCTGACCTTGTGATCTGCCCCACTTGGCCTCCCAAAGTGCTGGGATTACAGGTGCGAGCCACCATGCCCGGCCTCGTACCCCATTCTTAAGAGAAGGTAGAGTAGATGAGGAGAGCTTTTGCGTTTTATTTCCCATCATCCCACGGAGTGCTCTTACCTTCTGTTTGCGGTCTCCTGGAACAGCTGTTCTGGACAGCCAGCATTATGAATGCCCCCAGATGGCTCTTGGTGCTTCTGGAATCTTGCTTCTGAGGATTTCCCCTTTCTCGAATTCATAGTTGTATTCTGTGCTCTAGTATTCCAACATCCAAATAAGAGGAGTACCAGAGGTATACATATCCCACCCAGCTAACAGGGAAAAGCTAAAAGGCCAAATCTCTAATGACTCTACCCTAATTACACAAAGGATTACAAAGCAGTGAGGCATATGGAGGGGAGAGTGCTTCATGTAACCCAAAAAGTAACTGAGGCAAGTCTCAATTGAGATACAGAGGTTTATTTAGCCAAGGTTGAGGAAGTGTCAAGGAAAAAATATAAGTCACTGAAGCATTTGTGACCTGTGCTTTTTCCAAAGAAGTTTTTGGGAGCTTCTGCATTTAAAGAGGAAAGAGTAAGCAGGAGGGGATAAAAAGGAGATATGCTCATATGTAAGGGAGGGGTACTGAGAATGAAAATTTTTCTTTTTTTAAAAAATTATTTATTATACTTTAAATTCTGGGATACATGTGCAGAACGTGCAGGTTTGTTACATAGGTATACATGTGTCATGGTAGTTTGCTGCATTCATCAACCTGTCATCTAGGTTTTTGTTTGTTTGTTTTGAGACAGAGTCTCACCCTGTCACCAGGCTGGAGTGCAGTGGTGCAATCTCGGCTCACTGCAACCTCCACCTCCTGGGTTCAAGTGATCCCCTTGCCTCAGCCTCCTGAGTAGCTGGGACTACAGGCATGTGCTATCAAGCCCAGCTGATTTTTGTATTTTTAGTAGAGATGGGGTTTCACCATGTTGGCCAGGATGGTCTTGATCTCCTGACCTCATGATCTGCTCGCCTCGGCCTCCCGAAGTGCTCGGATTTCAGGCATGAGCCACCGCACCCAGCCCCATCGTCTAGGTTTTAAGCCCTGCATGCATTAGGTATTTGTCCTAATGCTCTCCCTCCCCTTTCCCCTTTCCCCCTACCCTCGACAGGCCCCAGTGTGCGAAGTTCCCCTCCCTGTGTCCATGTGTTTTCATTGTTCAACTCCCACTTATGAGTGCTGTTTGGTTTTCTGTTCCTGTGTTAGTTTGCTGAGAATGATGGTTTCCAGATCCATCCATGTCCCTGCAAAGGACATGAACTCAGAGAATGAAAATATTTTGAGCAGCAGGGAAGAAGATTGGCTAAGTTGACAGTAAACAACACACAATTACCAGGCAGCAATGCACAAAACAGCAGCCGAGGTCCGAAAAGGATTAGTTGGGAGGTAAGTGCAGAAGCCATAATAACCACCTGGGGAGTTTGTTGGTGATGGACATACCCAGGCCTACCCAGGAGATGCTGATTCAGAAGATATGGCTGGGGTCTGGTTATCTCTGAATTTAAATAACTCTCCAGAAGACACTGATTCACCCTTTTATTAGATGGCCATTGCTCTAACATCCCTAGAGGGTGATACTTCTCAATTTAAAAGATAATGCAGGTAATTATTTCATTTTGAATGTTTGTATCCTTCCAAAATTCATGTGTTTAACTCTCAATGTGATGGTATTAGGAGATGTGGCCTTTGGCAGGTAATTAGTTTATGAGGGGAGAGTCAAGATGAATGGGATGAATGCCCTTAGTAAAGAAGCCCCAGAGAGCTGCCTTGCCCCTTCTGTGATATGAGAACACGGTGAGAAGGCATCATTTGTGAACCAGGAAGTGGGCCTTCACCAAACACCAAATCTGCTAGTGCCTTGATCTCAGACTTTCAGTCTCCAGAACTGTGAGAAATGAATTTCTGTTGTTAATTAGCCACCCAGTCTATGGTGCTTTGAAATAGCAGCCTGAACAGACTAGACGGAAGTGATGACCACTAGTTCAGCCTCCCACACAGCCCAATCAGCAGCCTACAGGCCAGCCCCTGCTGCTGGAGCTGGGTCATTCCACAGGCTCCCTCCTTGACTTTCTACAACACACCCTGGCTACATCTGATTGGTATATCTTGTCATTTAAAAAGCTAGAATGTATTAATGGTCTCCAAAACTGTTTTTCCCTTTTTACTACTTATACTAACAAATGGCTTCAATTTTCTATCACTCAAGTGTTCCTGGACTAAACTTCATCTCTCTCCTAATCTTCCATCTAGTCACTTGCTAGATGCTAGTTGCTTCAACCTCCTTAACAAGTCTCAATTTTGTCTCCTATGTCGTCCTAATAACTGTGCTTTAGTTCAGGCTCTCATGATTTCCTATCTGGATTACTATAGTTATCTCCTGAATTGGTTTCTCCACCTTCTGTTTTACTTTCCTCTAGCCCATTATCCATAAATCTGATCTTTCTACTTTTCCCAACTAAAATGCTTTCATAACTCTCCAATGCCCACAGAATAAAATCCAAGCTTAGCACAAAGAGTCCTGCATGGTCTCAGGGGTCCAATTTAAAATCTTATAACCTAATGAGGGATGCAGCCTGGATGAGAATGGTGGGGATTCTGGCAAACTGGATTGCACACGCTCTATGTAGAGAGGGGCCATTTCCAGCTCTCATTACTCACTGCCACATCAATGCTATTACATCTTCCACTTTTCAGTATAAACTGAATTTATGCACTATCTCCAAAATTTTAATTAAATATAACAACACTATTCAAGCTACCCACTCTTCAAGACTGTGGACTAGATCCAGTCCAGGGGTGGCTGCTTTGTACCCTCTGTTTTAGACCTTCTCCCACCTCCATCTGAATAGGTCTGACGTCCAGGGATTTCATAGCTGGTTAAACCATACGATGGATGAATATACATTACTAAAACCTAATCCAAGAGAAGCAAGAAAGTTAAGTAAACTTTCACCTTCTTGCCCATTCAAAACCCATTTTCTCAGTCTAGGTGCAGTGGCTCACACCGGTAATCCCAGCACTTTGGGAGGCTGAGGTGGGTCAATCGCTTGAGGTCAGGAGTTCGAGATCAGCCTGGCCAACATGGTGAAACCCTGTCTCTACCAAAAAATACAGAAATTAGCCAGGCCTGGTGGTGCGTGCCTATAGTCCCAGCTACTCGAGAAGCTGAGGTGGGAGAATCACTTGAACCTGGGAGGCCGAGGCTGCAGTGAGCCAAGATCACGCCACCGCACTCCAGCCTGGGCGACAGAGTGAGATCCCGTCTCAAAAAAAAAAAAATCAATAAATGATCTCTCCATTACATGATAAAAATTAATCTTTAAAGTTTATCACAAAATTGTTACCTTTGGTATAGCTCTTCACTTCTTTCTCTTTGCTTTATTTCTTACTTCCCTGTAATTGGGAGGCAATAAATAGTCTTCTCTTCCAAGAGAATGTAGGCAGTCATCACAATAAAAACAGATGAGACAAAAATGTCCATGAAGGCTGGGTGCAGTGGGGGATGCCTATAATCCCAGCTACTCAAGAGGCTGAAGCGGGAGGATGGCTTGAGCCCAGAAGTTCTAGACCAGCCTGGACAAAATGGCAAGACTCTTCCTCTAAAAAAATTTTTTTTAAGTCAACAAAAGACTTAAGATGGTAAGGTCAGGTGACTATTTGGAAAGAAAGTTGGAAGAAAGACTCTGGAGGCGGTGCTCATGCCAGTGAGGCTGAGGTCACCTACTCAATTCTCATTACCAGGATCCCTACATGGCAACTTCACCTCTCCACGAAAAGGTTTTCAAATAAGCTGTAACACTAGTCTCCTCAGAAACACTAATTTGAAGAAAATACAAAACATAGATTTCTCCACATTGTTCATTATTCTCCACATTATTCAGTTGCATTATTCAGGGGCACCCCTCCTCTGTCATCCACAGTTCATTTGACATATTATTAACCTGAGAAGAATATCTGTGATTTCTATGTTCTTAACCTTTTTTGATCATAGAACTCTGGAAATCTGAAGACATCTATGGATGCTTTTTCCAGGAAAACACATATGCACACAAACTTTTTAAATATTTACCTGTCAGGTTTAACACATCTACAGTAGCAACCCCATAAGCTACCTAACTTTAGGACTCTCACCTACAAAATACCCTGGTTTACCCCACAGCAACGGTTCCCTATGAGAGACAAAAAAAGAAACAAACAACAACAACAAAAATTCCATGGCGAACACAATGTAAATGCTTATCCTTTAATCTCCCTTAGTCTAGTACCTGAACAGGTCACACACCACTGACTTTCATAGCTGGCATTCTCTTAAGAGAAGCTCCCAGGAACAAAGACCTTTTTTTCGGTGGCTTTTTGTCTGAAGTTTCTGGTTTCAGAAAAGTTGTACTAATATTTAATTTATATGCTTCCAGTGATGTCCTGTTGCAGCCAGACAGAAAACGTATTGTCTTTCATTAGATGGCCCCTGAGTGGAACCTGAGTCATTCTTCCAGTGAAGAGATGAAAAAGAGAGAGGATGAATGACATTCTGGAAGGAAACTCTAAACCTCCCAACATGTTGCTGTGGAATTTGTGGCTCAGAGTCTGGTTCAGTGACAGAGGTTCAGAACATCGCTTTTTATCAGGGGCTGGGTGTGTGTCTCAAACCTGTAATCCCAGCACTTTGGGAGGCTGAGACAGAAGGATCACTGAGGCCAGGAGTTCAACATCAGCTGGGAAACATAACAAGACCCTGTCTCTACAAACAAGCAAAAAAAGAGAAGAAGAGAAAAGAGTTGCTTCTATTAGATCACTTTATGATGTGAGACCCTGGGAAGTTAGACTAATATATCACAGAATGCTAGAAATATATTGGTGAATTGGATTAGAATGTTAAGTGTGTCCTCTTCCCACAAGAAAGCCAAGTTGAGAACCCAGATGAACATCAGGAAGTTGCATGGGACACACCTGGAAGACGAGGAAGCAGATAGTCTGATGGGCAGGACAGGATGCTTCACCTGCTTGTGTGGTCTATCCCACCATGGGAGGGTGGCTGCCAGGGATGAGCAAGTCAGGGAAACTTCTTCCCTGGGTGTGCCGTTGTTTTGTTGTTGTTGTTTTGCCTTTTTTTTTTTTTTTTTCTGAGATGGAGTTTCACTCTTGTTGCCCAGGTTGGAGTGCAATGGCGTGATCTCAGCTCACTGCAACCTCTGTCTCCTGGGTTCAAGCAATTCTCCTGCCTCAGCCTCCCAAGTAGCTGGGATTACAGGCACCCGCCACCACGCCCAGCTAATTTTTGTATTTTTAGCAGAGACGGGGTTTCACCGTGTTGGCCAGGGTGGTCTCAAACTCCAGACCTCAAGTGATCCACCCGCCTCCGCCTCCCAAAGTGCTAGGATTACAGGTGTGAGCCACCTCGCCTGGCCAGGCATGCCTGTTTTTAACTGTGTTCACTATAAAATACAAGCACTCAACACTATTGAGGACACATTCATAACATCTTTAATATGCCTCTGCTGTTAACATTATATGTATCTTCCATCTTTTTGTATCCCAAATGTCAGCTCCTCTCTGAGCTCCCCCAAGGATCTATTTACCCACCCAGATAAAGAACAACGCAAAATTTACTGATGGTCTTGTAAGAGGGACGGAGTGAGCTGCTTTTAAAATCCTCTTTATAGTCTTATAAAAAAATCGGGCTGGGTATGGTGGCTCATACCTGTAATCCCAGCACTCTGGGAGGCTGAGGTAGGTGGATCACTTGAAGTCAGGAGTTCAAGACCAGCTTAGGCAACATGATGAAACCCAGACTCTAAAAAAACCACAAAAAGTTAGCTGGGCATGGTGGCATGTGCCTGTAATCCTAGCTACTCGGGAGGCTGAGGCAAGAGATGGACTGGAGAGATGGAGATTGCAGTGAGCTGAGATTGAGCCACTGCACCCCAGTCTGGGTGAAAGAATGAGACTCTGTCTCAAAAAAAAAAAAATAAATAAAATTTGATTCTAATCAAGCCTCTAGTTCTCACTCATGGTTAGTATGAAATATAGAGGAACATGTTTAACTCCAGGGTAGAAACCAGCAAATTCCAGCATGTGAGAAATTCTGCAAGACAGATATATCAGTTTCTTCAGCAAATGAGTGGCAAATTCAAAAAGAAAAAAAAAATAAAGGGAAACACAAATAAGAAAATTTACAAAGTACATCAAATAAGTACAATACACAAATATTATTATTATTTTTGTTGGGGGGTGGGGGAGGGATGGAGTCTTGCTGTGTCACCAGGCTGGAGTGCAGTGGTGGTCTCAGCTCACTGCAACTTCCACCTCCCGGATTCAAGCAATTCCCCTGCCTCAGCCTCCCAAGTAGCTGGGATTACAGGCATGTGCCACCATGCCTGGCTAATTTTTTATATTTTAGTAGAGACGGAGTTTCACCATGTTGGCCAAGATGGTCTCAATCTCCTGACTTCGTGATCTGCCTGCCTCGGCCTCTCAAAGTGTTAGGATTACAGGAGTGAGCCACTGCGCCTGGCCCACAAATATTATTTAGAATATACTTTTAAATGTATATCTTACCACCATAATGTTCAGCCAAACACAAAGAATGCATACTTTTGAGTCTACAAACCATTCCAAATCCAGATATTGGTTACCTGTGTATGGAATAATCACTGAAGGGGGTGTGATTTCTGGGGTGCTGGTGATACTCTGCATCTTTATTGGGGTCCTTGTTATATTGATACATTTATTTATGAAAATACATTGTATTAGTTTGTTCTCACATTGCCATAAAGAAATACCGGAGACTGAGTAATTTATAAGACAAGAGGTTTCATTGGCTCACATTTCTACAGGCTGTACAGAAAACATAGTGACATGTGCTTCTGGGGAGGCCTCTGGAAGCATCCAATCATGGCAAAGGGGGAGCAGGCATGTCACATGGCAAAAGCAGGAACGAGAGAGAGAGCGGGGAGGTGTTACACACTTTTAAATGACCAGATCTCACGAGACCTTACTGTCATAAGGACAGTACCAAGGGGGATGGTACTAAACCATAATGAGTAACTGACCCCATGATCCAATCACCTCCTGAACTGCCTCTGCAAAATTATGACTGAGACAGTGAGAGAGAGCTAACCTAATCAAATCCATCTTGGCTCTAACCTTTACGCTGTCCTTGTTCCTTCCTGGGTGTAGGCTGAACTAACTTTGGGAGAAACTTAGTTTATAGTTTATCATTTAAAACAAAGATGATAACAGCCCTGACATGGTTTGGCTGCTTCCCCACCCAAATCTCATCTTTAATTTTAGCTCCCACAAGTCTCACGTATTGTGGGAGGAATCCAGTGGGAGATAATTGAATCACGGGGGTGGTTCCCCCATACTGTTCTCGTGGTAGTGAATAAGTCTCACGAGATCTGATGGTTTTACAAGGGGTTTCCCTTTTCGATTGTCTCTCATTCTGTCTTGCTTGCCGTTATGTAAGACATACCTTTTGCCTTCCACCATGATTGTGAGGCCTTCTCAGCCACGTGGAACTGTGAGTCCATTAGCCCTCTATCTTTATAAATTACCCAGTCTTGGTTATGTCTTTATTAGCAGTGTGAAAATAGACTAACATAAGCCCTTTCCCAAAACAAACCTCCTTCTTGTCTGGGGACTAGACTGCCTTTGTAGGACTAACAAGTTAGCCAAAGATTAGAAATTATGGTTTAGGAGTCATGTGGCTGAAGGCTACAAGATTCTGATCCTCCCTAAACTGCTTCTAAGATCAGTGCTTGAGATATTTTGCAGATCCTGAGCTTGATGGATCAGCTGGCACCACTCAGATGGAAAAAACTGGCTCATCTGATCTTGTGACCCCACCCAGGAACTGACTCAGCACAAGAGGACAGCTTTGACTTTCCATGATTTCATCTGCTACCTAACCAATCAGTACTCCTGGCTCACGGCTTCCCCCAACCCACCAAATTGTCCTTAAAAACTCTGATCTCTGGATGCTCAGGGAGACTGATTTCAGTAATAATAAAACATCGGTCTCCTGCACAGCCTGCTCTGTGTGAATTACTCTTTCTCTATTACAATTCCCCTGTCTTGATAAATCAGCTTTGTCTAGGCAGCAGGCAAGGTGAACCCACTGGGCGGTTACACTCCCACCAGGCCCACCCTCAACACTGGGGACTACAATTGAACATGAGATTTGATTGGGAACACAGATCCAAACCGTATCACACATTACACTGTAAACCTATGGTTTATGTACTTTTCTTTATGTTGCAAAATAAAATGTTTTCTTACACTCATGAGGCAATTGGAACACTGATATTTGATGATACCTAGGAATTGCCAGGGTTTTTTTGTTGATGGTATTGGAGTTTTGTCATAAAAAAGTCTTATGGTTCAGAAAGACACACAACTTTATCTAGGTAAAATGTGATGCTCGAGGTTTGCTTTAAAAAGTAAGGGAGGTGGCCAGGCGCAGTGGCTCACCGCTATAATCCCAGCACTTTGGGAGGCTGAGGTGGGTGGATCACAAGGTCAGGAGATCAAGACCATCCTGGCTAACACAGTGAAACCCCGTCTCTACTAAAAATACAAAAAATTTGGCCGGGCATGGTGGCAGGCAACTGTAGTCCCAGCTACTCTGAGGCTGAGGCAGGAGAATGGCGTGAACCCGGGAAGTGGAGCTTGCAGTGAGCTGAGATTGCGCCACTGCACTCCAGCCTGAGCAACGGAGTGAGACTCTGTCTGGAAAAAAAAAAAGTAAGGGAGGTGAGGGGAATAAGTTAGAGTTTAGATTGGCCATGTAATTGATAATTGTTGAAGCCAGGTGATAGTTACATGGGGGTACATTAAGCTATTGTCTAGTATATAGTTGAAAATTTTTCTTAAAAAAGTAATTGTAGAATCCCCAATAGACACCTCTCTTTGCCCACTTCTGTTATAACCCACTGGATTCTTGTCACCCACTGCACAAATAAGGCCAACACAGTGAGACAGAAGTGTTGCAGCAGAGAAAGAGTTTATGGTAAGGCAATTGAGCAGAAGGATGAGAGATATGTCTCAAATCAACCTCCCTAAGAATTTGGAGGCTAGGGTTTTTAAAGATAATTTGGTGGGTAAGGAGCTAGAGAATGGTGCTGCTGATTGGTTGGGAATGAAATCATAGGAGTATTGAAATTGTCTTTGTGTGCTGAGTCAGTTCCTAGGTGGGGGTCATTGGTTCAGGTGGTGTCAGTTGTTCCACCACAATGCAAAGTCTGAAAAAAATATTTCCAACACCAGTCTGACATTTTAAAATAGTGTTGTCTATAGGACCAATTAGAGAACTTACAAATCTTGTGACTCCTGAGCATCAAGCAATTTAGGAGACAATAACTAGTTATCATTTAACTATGCATAGGTCTTAGCAGAATTCAGGTCTTTACCATAATTCTAACCTTGTGGCCTTTTATTAGTTTTACAAAGGCGATTTCAGTCCCTGAACAAGTAGGGGGTTAGTTGGAGGAAGGAACTATTATCATCTTTATTTTAAAGTCAAACTGTAAAGTAAACGGCTCTCATACTTAGTTTCACCTACACCCAGGAATGAGCAAAGATAGTTTGTGAGGTTAGAAGCAAGATGGAGTCAGCTACATTAGTTTTCTCTCTCTGTCATAACTTTTACAAAGGCAGTTTCAATTATTTCTCTCTGCACTTCCTTTGGACTTTCACTTCTCTCCCGTCTTTCACCACTGCTCCCTCTCACGGGATCTACTCCTCTCAGTACAACTTTTTTTTTTTTTTTTTTTTTTCTTGAGATGGAGTCTCGCTCTGTCACCAGGCTTGAGTACAGTGGCGTGATCTCGGCTCACTGCAACCTCTGCCTCCTGGGTTCAAGTGATTCTCCTGCCTCAGCCTCCTGAGTAGCTGAGACCACAGGTGCATGCCACCACACCCAGCTAATTTTTGTATTTTTAGTAGAGACAGGGTTTCACCATGTTGGCCAGGATGTTTTTGATCTCTTGATCTTGTGATCTGCCTGCCTCGGCCTCCCAAAGTGCTAGGATTACAAGCGTGAGCTACTGCTCCCCGCCTCAGTACAACTTTTAATCTGTTTTCTTTCATATGCAGTGAGCTCAGCTAAACTGTCTTAGTATGAGAACCAGCACATCCTACCGACCCTGAGGCCTCAGCCTCTAATCAAATGGGTTTACAAAAACAATCAACAAAGATGGGTCTTTTCCAGGAAAACGGAGGAATCCTATTCTAACTGCCATGAAAAACAATTTTCTGTATTCATTCATTCATTCATTCATCCCCTACCCACAATATGCATAGGTAGGGTTTATCTCTTAATAAATTTGAGAAGTATTGTTAATAGAATCAGGAACATAGTTGTTAACCTTTCCCCAGGGTGGGCTACTTCTACTGATCACTAATATAAACCATCATCACGATCCTTACAAGCTTTGCTGTCAGAAAGCGATCTTCTCTCAAATTGGTTCATCTTTTTGATATCCCTCAATCCCTTCCACACCAGCTATAGTTGTTGAATTTTCCTTTAACTGGGACATTTTGAGTTTGTCAGAGGAGGAAGGGAGAAAAAGCATTTAAGAATAGTCTACTGACTGAATGGGAATTACTGCAAAGAGCTGATGAGGTGAGAATGCCAACAAGCGGGTTTAAGACCAAAACATTCACCCAAGTGAGATTACATTTGTTTTCTGGAAATAGGGGTGGTACAGGATAATTAACTTGACTTGGTCTTGAAACACATTTTCAGCCTAGAAGAAGCACACAAATCGTACTTGACTTAGGAATTAAACAGATGTGATGTGGAGAAAATTAAAACATTTTATCAACCTCTGTGAAACTCACAACTCAGATTGTATGAGCCTAAGCTATAAAACATTGTATCTCATCATCTCAGCTTAGGGGTTTCTGCTCTAGTGTCCCACTGACAGCATGCCCTCAGTAGTAGGGGCCTTCTACTTTTTTGTTTTTGTTTTGTTTTTTGAGACAGAGTCTCAGTCTGTCGCCCAGGCTGCAGTGCAGTGGCGTGATCTCGGCTCACTGCTACCTCTGCCTCCCGGGTTCAAGCGATTCTTCCATCTCAGCCTCCCAAGTAGCTGGGACTAGAGACATGTGCCACCATGCCCGGCTGCTTTTTGTATTTTATTTATTTATTTATTTGAGATGGAGTCTCACTCTGTCCCCCAAAGCTGGAGTGCAGTGGCATGATCTCAGCTCACTGCAGCCTCTGTCTCCCGGGTTCAAGCAATTCTCCTGCCTCAGCCTCTCAAGTAGCTGGGGTTACGGGTGTCCACCATCAGGCCTGGCTAATTTTTTTGTATTTTTAGTAGAGATGCGGCTTCGCCATGTTGGCCGGGCTAGTTTCGAACTCCTGACCTCAGGTGACCCACCTGCCTTGGCCTCCCAAAATGTTGGGATTACAGGCGTGAGCCACCACGCCCGACAGCCTTCCAGTTTTATCATGTCCATTGGAAGGTCTGTAGCCTGCCTCTGTCACTTACTTACACTTCTGCTGTTTCTCCTACCCTACAGATCACCTTTAGTTACAAGGACTCTCAATGACTTTCCTGAGCACATATCGCCACAGCTATCTCCTATTACTGCTCCGAGGCCCTCCCCTAAGACTGTATAGCATAGTCAAAAACAACCAAAGAGCACCTTCCTAATATTCAGGCATGGCATCAGTTTAAGTAATGGCAGAATTCTTTGGAGAAATTCAATGTATCTTAAATGCCCAGAGCATTCATTTGACTCTAGACAATCTGGACAGAAATAATTGTGAAGCAGGTAAATTTTCCTGAGAGTTCAGTACAGGGACTGATAGAGAAGGATATTCTCCAGATTATTGAATATCATAGCTTTGCACTGCTTACAATGAAGCTCTCACACAAAGGCCACTGATGGAGAATAATCAGATGGAGAATAATCCTACTGTGCTATTGATACAACTTATAGCAGCACAGGTGTTTGGAGGACACCTGAGCATATTCATGCCACCTTGAATCAATAGGCAAAGAGATTTCCTCTTTAAGGTGAGACAGTTCTAATCTGGTGGTCATCAGCAACTGTGCTTTGAGATACTTTGAGCTTCCATGTGTAAGAAAGGAAGTGACAGGCTCAAAGCAACAGTTTTAAAGACCCTTGAGAAAGAGTAAGGGCTTAGTCTGCAGCCACCCAGTGGGTGCGATTACCCACGCAGTTCTGTGTAGCTCCTGACGAGTACATGCTATAGTTTCATGTAAGAGGCAGTATGGATATAGTGTTCAGAGCATGGGCTTTTGGTCAGATTACTAGAGTCTGTCAAACCTGCTTTATTTATAAGACAGATGATAACAGTGCCTGTGGCGTTGGCTTTTGTGATATTAAAATGATTTAGTATGTGTAAGCCCTTAGAACAGGGCTTCCTGCCCCATTGTCAGCATTCAGTAAATGTTAGCTATTTTGAATTGAGGGGTGTGGAGTAAACACACAAGAACAACGATGATTTTGGAATGGTGTTTAAAAGAAATTTACAGAAAGATTCCAGAGAAATGTGGTAAAAAATTAGCCTTTAATTTCTGGGTTAGAACTCATTTTAATAAAACAGTATGTCTCAAATGACTGAAGAAAGAATTGTATGGCATCATAGAAAGAACATAAGACTTGGAGGAAAGACGTGGAGGGTTAAGTCCTAAGTTGTCACCAGCGCTGTGGCCTGGGATCCTGCAACTCATCCCTTTGGGCTTATAAGGAAAGTTAATCTCTGTGGGTTGCTTCTAGCTTAAAACTATGATACGATGCCAAGTAACACTTAAATCACTGTTTCTTTGATTAGATGCATATTAAGGTTCAAAAAAGAATTACCAGTCTGGACCCCTGTGCTTCCATTCTCCTCTTATTTAAATCATCTTATTTCAATCTTCTCTTATTTAAATCACCTTATTTAAATCATTTGAATTATCTATTTAAATGTTAATAGGCTTATCTGATTTAATAATTTAATCATACTTATAAGATATAATAGATTAAAAACCAGAACATCTAAGACCTGTCCCCAGACACCTGAGCAAAAAAAAAAGACAAACTGACACTAAGGTAGAATGTGATAAATATTTATCTTAAGATAACAGATCTTTGTCTTCCATCTTCTTTAATAATGTTTATAGTGATAAATATGTCCTGAGTGGGATTTTTCTCCCCAGAAAAGAATTTGTAAAGGCAAAGCCACACTGCTGACCAGTTTCCCTTGTTCCTTACTGCCCACGTTTCCAGACAGCTGGTCAGGGTTATGGCTGTGGGCTGTGGCCATGAAACAGGAGCATGCTGACCCAGGGTGCTGCCTGCCGAGCTAGTGCCCAAACATTAAGAGGAGTTAAATTACTTAACAACAGCAGGGATGGTAGAGCTAAGAAAAGATTTAAGATGATGAACTAAATTGTATACAAAAATATGCCTTCAAGAATAGTCTCTAAAGGGCATTCATAACCGTCTTTCTGAAACCATAAAGAAACCTGACATACATTGATATTTTCTCCAGCTAATTCCCTTGAAGAGGCAGTGCTCATTATCAATTCAAAATTTAAACTGGTGCACTCACCAGGAAGAATAAATGAAATTCTGTAGACATTATCATGCAAATTCCATCTTAAGCTTTCCAGTTGTAAAAATGTTCAGTTGTTTATAACCAGCTTGGCATTTCCATGTAAGATAGGATTTTTAGAATAACAGGACAGATTTATGAAAAATAAACAAGACTAACATGTTATTTAAAATGCCACAAATGGAGACTAAAATTCACCAAAGCTGACATAATATTCCAAAGGCAAAACCTGAGGTGTACATGACAGCTATTCCTCAGGATTACATACATATGATTTCAGACAAATGGCTTAGAGAACCCGAAATCCTTTATTCACAAAGGTTTCACATTTCTGGTAAGAGAAATCCAAACCAATTCAATGGAATCTAGGTAGAGTCTAAACAACACTAGGTACTGTATAGACATAAAAAATAAATATGGCAAAGATTCTACCATTGCTGTAGTGAGAAGTGGGAGGAGAAAATAGACACATAACTGAACTATAAAGCAGACTGTGATAAATATTATAGAAGGCACCAACAAAATGCTTTGAAGTGCTTGTGTTTGAAAAGAGAGAAAGATTAGGTTTGTGGAAATAAAACATTTTGTGTGGAAAAAAGTGTTATTTCAGCTGAATTTTGAAAAATAGGTAGGATTAGGATAGCAAGCAAGTGAATGGGAAAAGGCTATCTCAGGTGACTGCATCAGTAAACGCATAGAGGGGGTTGGAGCATTATCCCACTTGGCTTGAAGGAGGGAGCATTCGAACACCCCAGCATGATGACTGAATACTGAATTGGAGGTGCTGTGCAGAGAACAGGCCCTTAGAGACCGGCTGTTATTATTCTTCATTCTGCAGGCATCGTTCCTCCAGGAATTGTTATGTCACTCATAAGAAATTGAACCATCTTTAATTAAAGCCACCTAAGTTGAACAAAGGAAGAAGAGTGACTAGAGAAGAAATTGATGATGTGAGGAAGAACAGAGATTGATGGCGACATAATGGAGGGGTCAGGAGGAGGTGGGATCCATGGACTGGGGTAGGGGTTCCTATAAGGAAAACCATCACTATTTTTTTTTTTTAAGAGGAGGGGTAAGCAAACTGTTCCTGTCAGTAGCCAGATGGTAAACATTTTAGGCTTTCAAGGCCACATGTTCTCTGTCTCAACTATTCAACACTGCCACTGTATTGTGAAAGCAGACATAAATAAATGAATGAGCATGAATGTATTCCAGTAAAACTTGATTTAAAAAATGGCTAGCAGGCCAGATATGGTCCACGGGCCATTGTTTACCCTTTTCCTTAGAGAATTAGCAAGGAAGAAAAATAAATGTACTAAGATATTCAACAGAGATAAAATTAATTAAAAGCTTTCTTTGACTTTACAGTTAAAAAAGGAGAGTAGGTTATCTGTTAAGAAATGTACATGGAGGACAGAAGGAAATGAAGACATCTTATAACAGCCATCATGAGGTTAACCAGGAATGAAAACACCCAAAGCAGCATTTTGAATTCTTAATGGGGCCAATCAACAACTCTAGAACCAGAAAGGAGAAAGTCTACAAAAGCATTGTTCAATCTGAGACTTGGCTAGTTCTCAATCATTTTTGGTATCTGTTGCATAACTTAGGGGATACAAAGAAGATCAAGCCATTGCATATTACATTGTATTGACAAGAACTTACCACTGTAAAGTTCAAAAAGAAGAGTTTCTTCTTATTTCTACTCACAGGTCTCACTACAAAACCCACTTTAGTGTCATCTGCACAGCAATCCAAACACTGTGAACAGGAGACAAGCAATCAAGCATTGGCTTGGACCCAAAGATGAAACATAAGGTCATGGATAAACTCAAGAATATGCCTCAGCCATCAAGTTACCAGCAATAAGAGAAGAGCCAAGGTTGGAATAAAGGAAGTCAATTCTCTATGTTTTCTTTGTCATCTCAGATGCAGGGAGATCTAACACAGAGGAAACATAGGTTGCTATTTCTCCAACAGTAACTCAAAAGTTTCGGAAGCTATCTAACACAAAGTATTTCAGGATCATAAGGTGAGAAGAGTGAGCAAATAGCAGGCTCTTTCCTTTAGAAAAATAACTTCTTTTTAAAATGACTTGGGCTCTTTACATTTCCTTTAAGGACCACAGGCTAGTTCTGGGCTCCCCACGTACTATGAAGGAGAGTGTCACATGTCAATCAAACATAGCATGTGATGGGAAAGATTGGCAGGCACCAGTGGATAAGCTTCCATTTCCTTTTAATGATACTGTAGAGACATGGACATAGCTTTCAGGCATTTTGATCAGGCAAGCAGTTAAAAGTATCACACTGAGCCTGAGAATCACCATAGCTGGAAAGACAAGGCGCAGTTGCCATCTATTTGAATTTGCTAATTTGCCTAAAACTGACAGAGCAAGGCTTGTCAAAGATGATTATTTGGCACTGTCAGTCTCTCCCTAAGAGGATTTCCATCATTCGGCCTTCAGTCCCTGTTGATCAAGAGCAGTGTGGAGCACAGTTTTTTTCTACATTTGTCACCTCAAACCATTCCTTTGTTTCTCTGAGTAATAATTCACATCTCCACTCCACTGTTAGAAAGTGGGGTTAGAGCTCTCTATGGTAACAGTAGTTGTAGGCATTATCTTAAGCTTTCAGAGTTACCTCTGCTGAAAGACATCAAAAATCCCAGCTTACAACCCAAGTACTGTTCAACACCACAATACCACATGTTGTCTTTCCCTTGTCTTTAGGGGGGTACCACAAGCTTAAGGCCCAGGAATGCCCATCTCAAGAGAGGTCAGAGAACCATGATACACAGTCAGCCCAGGAGAGTAAGGGGTCAGAAGCTCAAACACCGGGGCTTGAGATACCTTATCTGATTAATTGGACAAGATCTGCAGCAAGCAATTCTTCCTGCCTGTCTTCTGATCTTATTCCCAGCCTCCTTTCTCAATAACATTTGCCTTGTTGCTGCCATGTATGTAACATGGCAACATTATTATTATTTGTTCAGTGTTGTAACTACGGAACAATTATGAGTTGGACAGTGTCGCTCAAGAATCCTAAATGAAACAGTTGTCCCAGTTTTACAGATGAGAGACCTCCAACTTTGAGAAGTTGCAACATTTGCCCAAAAACACACAGCTATGGCAGGTTGGTATTTAAACCCAGGTGTGTCTGGCCCCATAGCCTGTGCTCTTATCTAGACATGGGTCAACAGGCCCTGAGGAGTCTGCTCAGTAACTGCAGATTTTCCTCCCAGGAAGGGGGAAGTTTCAATGTGTATACACCCATAGAGACACAGCCAAGTGCCCTGGTATCATAGCAGTGGAGAAAGCAGGTGTCATGAAGAAGTGTTAGAAATCTCATAACAATCAAATATGTGCAAGCTAAGTCTTAACTGGAAAAGAATTAAGTTTGCATCTTTATAATTTACACTAATGAAAGTATTTGCAATTTGTTTTCATTTGCAAAGTCTCACTCGATCTGCATAGCAACCTCAGGAGGATAGCAGAGCAAACACCATTTCCATTTTTCAGATGAAAAATCATGAAGTTTCTAACAGGTTAGAAAATACACTTAAGGTTACATGACTAGTAAATGGAAAAACCAGGATTAGAAACTTCATTTTCCAGTTCTGAGCCCCAGTTTTCTCCCTAATATTAGGAAGCTTCTGTTCTGTGTATTTGTTGCTTAATAGAACTGTGAACAAACTTCTCCCCGCATACATTGTTTCCCCCTCTAGTTCCTGAGAGATGGCATTTACCAGTGCCATAGTCCTAGTCTCAGGGGAATTAGCACACCCTCAAAACATCAGAATAAAACTGGTCTTCATTAGCAAGCAGTAGTTTGATTTAATTGCTAAAGTTAAACAAAAAGTGGGAAATCTTGACTATATTATACCAGTTAAAGTCTATAACTCTATGCTATAATAATTAAAAAAATAGAAACAGCATCGTGAATTTTTTTTTAAAGTTAAGAGTGGGGACAGAGGGCTTAGCCAAAATCCCTGGACAGCAGTATAATGATATGTTTATATTGACTAGTGTCATTGAGAAAATCACAGAAGAACCAGAAAGCATAAATAAGAGTGTAGACAAGCACAAATGCTTGTGAAATAAAAAAGAAAACAGAAGGAACCAAAAATAGATAGAAAGCAAAAATTGAATCTGAATCATTAATCACAGGCAACAATGTACAAGAGAAGAAAATAAGTCACTAAATGCATACCATTATATTATCCTGTTATTCTCCTGGCTTGGGGATATGTCACCAAAGAGGAAAAGAAGTAACATGGAGCAGAGGGACAAGAGGAATAAAGAGGAGAGTTGAATCCTGGAAGCTCAGGAAAAGACACAAAGTGTTCAGTATGAAGGAGACACTCTTTTGAATGATGAGGCATATTTCTCCATTGCTTTCGGTGTTATTATTATTAAATAAACTTGAGTATGAAGGGCTGGGGGAGGACTTTTGACAATCCTAGCTGTCAGTCCCTCTGCCGACAGTTGCTATTTTTTCCTATTGCTATTTCATTCCTTCCCAACTTCTCCCTTCATCTGGTAGGTGACTGAGCTGAGCGGTTCCACCCCCGCAGTGCATGCTTCTCTCTCTTCACCCCTGAGCTGCGATTCCTTGGGAGGAAACCATACTTTCTGCAGAAAGAGAGGCTGGGGTCAACAGAGTCTTCACATAGCATGAGTGGCACTGGCAGGCTGGAGTCCAGAGTAATATGAAGTTTGAATACAGATATTGATGGCAGAAATTGGCAACAAACCCTAGAATCAAATGAACAGTATGGGAGGTCTCTGTTACCCTGATTTCTGAGGGCAAGGGCTATCATCTGCTTTGTGGTCTTAAACGTTTTAGGTGATTATTTTAGAGGATCTAGATCAGTGTAATAACAGTGACACGGAGTTTTACCCTGTAATTACTAAAGTCACTAAATTTCAAAACATTTTAGAAAAGATCTAAAATGAATTGACACTGCACACAAACTTACTTATGGGTCTGTCAAAAGTTTTCAATAAACTACCTTTTCTGAACCCAGTTTATTTTGAAACATGATAAGCCCAGATTTATTTTTATCTAACCTGACACATTCACTTTTGAACTGATCTCCCCACAGCTGTACCATCCACTTGAAGAAATGATAATGCTGTGGATGTCATTGTTCCCAGCTAAGTCTTAGTATGTAGCTCTGGAGGATGCTTCAAATCAGGGCATCGATGCTTCATGGTTGGCTCTCTCTCCCAGGTCCTCATTCCAACCCCCGCAAAAGCCCAATGACTAATGAGACAAATCCAAGTCTTTTCTGAGAACCCTCTGACTTCTGTCAAACTAATAAGCCCTCCTACACTTCTCTTTCTACGTTTATCCTGACAGACAAAAACTGTGGGCAAAAACATCCAAACATGGACTTCCTCTTGTCTTTTAGTTTAAAGGCATGCATTTGTCAGGTGAGAAGTTCCAAGGCAAATTCCAAATTCCCACTGTGATTTTTATTACATTCTTGCAGACTTACAGGTAAAGCTATATTTCATCGCAAAGTTTCCACTTATCTGTTGTAAATAACTTTTCCAAAAGTTAAGCTAGGTATTAACAACAGCATTTGCTGATTGCCAATAATGTGCACAGGACAATAAAATAAAACTCAATCAGCTGGAATTATGATAAAATTATTACATACTAGTTATTATGACATCAACTCTTTGGCTACCATAGGAGTAAATGCATTCAAATAAAGCCGATTTACCTCATTTGCTAATGAAGATGGATAAGTAAAAGCTTCTGTTTGAATTCCAAGACTTACTGTATGTAACAATGGGTTTGGTCTGTGGACCAGCACCATCAGCATCACCCGGTAACTTGCTAGAAATGCAAATCCTCAAGCCCCACCCAAGACCTACTGAATCAGAGCCCTAGGGGGTACGGCGGAGGTTCAGCAATCTGGTTTATAAGCCTTGCAGTTGAATATAATAAAGTCTCCGTTTTCAGAACCATTGGTATAACAGCATTGGATTAAAACTGAAGCAGAAACACCTACCACTTAAAAATTTTACTTTCCACGACTTTCAAAGCAGCACCAGATCTTTAAAATAAGCTTTTCATTGTAGAAATAGCTTTAGATTTATAGAAATGTTGCAAAGATGGTACAGAGAATTCCCATATACCCCACACCCAGTTTTCTCTATTGTTAACATCTTGCATTAGTACATTTGTCACAATTAATGAACCTATATTGACACATTATCATCAACTAAAGCCTATACTTTATTCAGATTTCCTTAGTTTTTGCCTAATGTCCTTTCCCTGTTCTAGGATCTCATTCTGGATGTTATATTACATTTAAATTCCTAGAATATAAAAAAAAATCAGTAATCTCCACGATATAATGTATCTTGATTCTTATCAAAATTAGCCATGGAAATTTCTCCATACTTGCCTTGTATGTGCAATAGAATGTCTGGTGGCATTTAACATTTCTTCTTCTATTATACCTGATAGAAGTTTCAGTTTCAGGATGTTAATTAGGCTGTGCCACATATCACTACTTAATGGATCTGAAATCTTGGGCAAAGGTCACTTGACTAATCATTATTTTCTTTTGCTGCTTCTAAAGCTGTTGAATTCTCCCTGTTATGCCAAATTCCCTTTGCAATTAAATAATTTAGAGAAAAAAAAACTCTCAGTGAAATCACATGGATACCCACACAAGGCTTGATGTTTTATAAAGTGTTCTATTACTGATATAAACTGATATATTTTAAAAATCCTGTCTCTTTAGTTGTTGTCTTGGTTCAACACATTGTTCTTAGCATAATAGTGCAATTTTAAATGCAGTTGTCTGATTTCAGGATTAATATCTCTGTCTCTCCCCCTAGAATGTAAGAACTATGAACAGGGCTTTACCCAGTTTGCCTGCCATTATATTCTCAGAGCTTAGCACAGTACTTGACACAAGGTAGATATTCAATAGCAATTTGTTAAATATGATGAGAACCTAAGAAGGAGATCACATCCAATAAATATTAAAGATATTTAGCTATTACATTAATTTAAACTAATAATTTATAAGGAAGTCATGCTCTGAAGGAACTTGTAATGATTTCTGAGCATTGATCATTCAGCCATGTGCTCCGCTTTTCCTCTCCACTCCTCCCTTCCCCCTTCCATAGAAAGCAGTGCAAACAAGATACCTGATATTGATCTTGCTAGAGAGAGACAAGAATTGCCACAATTTTGTTTTTTTTAAATTGTGACTTCTAAGCGAACATACTAACTTTTCTTAGAAGGAGGTTAATGGCCCATGGCTGCCAACAAGAAATAGTACAAATGAGAAAAATAGTATAAATGAGAAAAAGTGCAATAGAGTACCAGTATCTTCACACCAGCCAGTGCTCAGACCACTTGCTGAAATTCATCATCAGATTTTTTGTGCGTTATATGATCAGAGCATGTTAGACATATTCCAAATAATGTTATATTGAAGAATAATGCACAATAAAACAACAACAAAAATAAATTTAGAGCATGTAATGAATTCTGATGTCTACTTACCAGCTTTAGACTAATAGCTTAGAGATTTCACATAGGAAGTGCTTCATAATGGGATTTTTCTTCATATAGTCAAGTTTTTACTTGCCCAGTGAAAACAACAACTACATTTTAAAAGTTTACCTCCTGGCAAGGTGCGGTGGCATGCCTGTAATCCCAGCACTTTGGGAGGCTGAGACCAGCAGATCACCTGAAGTCAGGAGCTCAAGACCAGCCTGACCAACATGGTGAAACCCCGTCTCTACTAAAAATAAAAAATAAAAAAAATTAGCCAGGTGTGGTGGCATGCGCCTGTAATCTCAGCTACTCAGGAGGTTGAGGTGGGAGAATTGCTTGAACCTGGGAGGTGGAGGGTACAGTGGGCTGAGATCCCACTACTGCACTCCCACCTGGGTGACAAGAGCCGAAATGTCATCTAAAAACAAAACAAAACAAAAAGTTTAACTCCCTTAGTATTTCATTTTAAATGATTTCCAGGAAGTGTAAGATTGTGAATATTCATTTAAAACAATGTTTCCAATAAAATATGACATTATAGAAAACCAGAATGCAATACAACATTTTGGATGATGACTGATGCCCTTAGGGCTTGTGTAAATACAGCACCTCTTATCACCCACTGTGATAAGTTTTACATTATTTGCTGTGAACAAAACTCCCAGTGAGCTATTATTTATTAGGCTAGTTATAAAGGTTGTACCAATTATTTCTGAGAGTATAAAGGTAAAACTGAGTTATTCATTGTTTTTCTAGTCCCAAACCACAAACTCTACTAGGCTGCTTTAGGCATGCAGAACAGAGCAAAGCCAAATAAAAACAAGTCTTCTGGCTTTTGCTGCTCTGGGGAGAAACCAGCACCTCTGCTGCCTTGCAATTCTGAATGTAAAGTAGAATGATAGAAAAGAGTAATGGGTAAGATTCTAGCTGAATGGGACTTTAGAGATCTGCCAGTTCAACTCTTCTAAATGAGGAAACCGAGGCGCTCAGAAGTCCGACTTTTTCAGGGTCACATGTAAACAGCAGAGGCAATGTAAAAAGTGAAGGGAAAAGAAATAAATACTGATGAAACTAAAACTATCTCTTTAACAATACTTAAGTCCCAGACAATGCATTTATTTACTTCAAGTTACATTGATATAATTAAATTGTAATACAATACGAAATCTGTGGATCATTAAAATATGATTCTACCTGTGTAGGGTGGCATGGTAGACAGAATAATATCCCCATAAGATGTTTACATCCTAATACCAGAAGCTCTGAATATGTTACCTTACACGGTATAGGGGACTTTTGCAAATGTGATTGAGTTAACGATCTTCAGATGGGAAGGTTATCCTGGATTATCACTATCTGCATGGGCCCAGTGTAATCACAAGAGTCTCTGTAAGAGGGAAGCAAGAAGGTGAAAGTCAGAAGAGGAGTTATGGCAATGGAAATATTCTAAATCTCTTTTCTTGGAATTCTATTAAAATGGATTGCTTTATGCAATGGTATGAATGCTTGTATGCCACCTCCCCCCAATTTCTATGTTGAAATATTAGCTCCCAGGGTGATGGTATTAGGAGGTGCGGTTCTTGGGGAGGTAATTAGATCATGTGATAGAACTGTCCTGAATGGAATTAGTGCCTTTACAAAATAGGCTCAAGGTAGCTTGTGTATCCCTTCCACAAGCAGTGAGAAGGTGCTATCTATGAGGAATTAGCCCTCACCTGACACCAAATCTTCTAGAACCTTGATCTTGAACTTCCAAGCCTCTAGAACTGTAAGAAAGAAATTTCTGTTGTTTTTAAGCTACCCTATCTATGATTATTTGTTATAGCAGCCTGAACAGATTAAAACACTATCTTTAGCATTAGTAAGGTACAATTCTTCCAATAGGCTGCCTAGTCACATATTAAATATTAATCTTGGATTCTAAAGACAGGGTAGAATTATATATATTGTACATTGTAATTCTTTTCAACAAGATCACATTGACATAGGGTCATTGGCTAGATCACAAGGATTTCAACTAGAGAGACAAGTTCTGTGCCATAAACACAATGTTATGTAGCAATCGTGCAAAGAAAACCATCAGAAAAAGTTTCCAGGTAAAATAATTAGTAGGGTTCAATCCTCTGTTCCATTTATTCTAATTGCCTTCCTATTTATGGAGAACCACTGAGTTTAACTTATTAATGTAAATATAAGCTTTGCTCACCAAGAAAGCTTGGCTAAAGTCCTGACTCCAAAGAATGATGGTGGCCAACTTTGATAAGAGTCAAAATATATACTGGAAATTGCTGATTTTCTTTATATTAAGAAATTTAACTTGAACATATCCATAATTTAGAATTAAGTGCTTGAATGACTGAATCATGCCGAATACCACTTTTAAAGTTGGATTTGCTCTTTATCTTAATTTGAAATAAATAGAATTGTATGAAAATAATAATAGTTGTCTTTCACTGGAGGCCTCTCATGAGTCTGGCACTCTGCTAGATGCCTCATTTATACTTCTCACTTAATCTCCAGGAACCACCTTCAAGAGGGGAACTATTACCTCCATTTTACATAGTAGAAATGATGCTCAGAAGAGGACATAACTCATGCAAGATTACATCACTGGAAAATGACAAATACAGGATTTGAAGACAAAGCTGATTCTAAAAGCTAAATTTTATTACCCATTCCAAATTTTCTTGCAAGACAGTAACCTGTCTATTCTATGTTGTATTTTTGTGCCTAGATACATTCAGAAAGTGGAACACAAGATTCTTGGAGATATGAAGAGTTTCTCTTAGAGTAAAAAATAAATTATCAGATAATGCAGAAGAATGTAGGGCACCTGATTACAAATGCTACCTCCCATAATCACCAGAGAATTTGCCTCCTGTTGGCCTTTCCTTGTCATTGTACGACATAGACGAAATGGTATAAACAGATGAGGAGCTGAAAGCAGAAGATAAAGGTTTGAATCCTTTCTCCTGTGCTTGCTTCTGTGTGACTTTCTTATTTCAAAGAAATTTGAAATTCACATGGAAGGACCTAAAAAATATAATCATATTTCAATACAATATGCCATACTACTTAAATATTAAAATCTCCATTCTATATGTATAGGAAAAAACCTGGAAGGATGTAAACAAATGATTACATAATAGTAGTTTTGAGGAATTCAACTTTCTTGTCTTTAATCTTTATAAAGAAAAGGTATATTGAAATAATAAAGATTTTTTTAAGTGAATCAAATATAGAAATTAAAGAACTTGTTTGGTTAACCTGAAAATTAAGCCTCATTTTATTTTGCCTGCAAAAAGTGGTTAATGATTCTTATCTCACTGGATTTTAAAGAAAGTGAAGTTTCTAGGGTCTTCAAGTAAGGCTTTGAAGTACAATCTTTCCTGGAAGGGAAAGGCAAGGACCAAATCTAAGGAGAGATAGAATTGGGGGAAAATTAGCAAATGCCAGAAAAGGAGCAGGGCTGAGCCTCTTGTAGCAAAGGGACAGGGAATAAACAGCCTGGAATGTTGTTTGGAGGATTAATAATGATACAAAGAAAGCACACAGCACAGTGCTTGATGCAAGAGCTGCTTCTCAAATGGCAGCCATTGTTGGACATGAGTGATGTTCCAGGCATAGTGCAGAATGATGAGATTCAAGCACCACTAAGCAAAAGGCCAAGCTCCATTCAAGATCTTAGACACCTATGCAAGCCAATCAGGCCAAATATAATAGACATAGTCCATAAAGGTATACAAAGCCTGGAGTATCCAGTGGTAAGACAGGGATCCCCCTGGGAATATAAGTTCAAAAGAGAAAGCCTGTCCCTCAAGGCACTTGCAGTGCCAGAAGGAGCCGTGGCCAAAGAGTTCCACACACTTACAGGGAAAATGAGGTGGGGTCAGGAACAAGGCTGACATGATGCTTGCCTGGTAAAAAGCGAACAAAAATTATTTGAATTGCTTCCTCCTAAGATCCAAGAGCCAAGGACAGGATAGAAATTGAAGGGGCATTTAAGTGGCTTGAACTGCCAAAATTAGGAAAATTTTTGAGCTGGTAGCCAAGAAAACAGATGCATATCAATGAATCACTCATCTAGATGAAGAGTTATAAATGATAATGCTGTTGGTTAAGACTTCTGGTCTGACCCTTACCCAAGCCCTGTTTCTCAAGTGACAGGTCTCTCTAAAATACTCTTTGAGAAAACTAGGACACCGGATCCTGTGGAACCGGCTGCAAAGGCTTCACCTCTCTCCATGGGCTTCATCTTGTCTCTCCTCCCCTGAAACAACTCACATTATTGTTAGAAAAAACACAAAAGCAATTTTAAATTTAAAACTTTGCCAACACAAATGACCAGGATGGAAGAGGTATTCTTTGTTTTTAATCATCATAAAAGAAGCTCACATTTGTTAAGTACTTCTTGAACACAGACCATTTCTATCCACTCATTCAGCAGGAATTTACTGGGAGCCTCCAGGCACTGTTCTGAACTCTCAAAGGGGTTCTATTGAACAATACCCATGGGGTTGCTCTTCTCATGGAGCACCAGCTTCTACTAGGGAAGCAGGTAATGGATAATGGAGTAAATAAACAAGAATTTAGATTCTGATAAATACCATGAAGCAAATAGAGCAAGTGAAATTATGATGCTCTAGTTTAGATAGTATGGTCAGAGAGGGCTTCTCTCGGAAGATGGTATTCAAACTGAGGTCCGAGTTAGGCAGTGTCCTGTGAGGTCTGAGGGACCTACATCCAAGGCAGGGCAAGAAGATAACTGATGTGTGCAAGATAAGGCTAGAGGGGATACAAGGGTGACGTGAGGAACTTGGCATGTATTTTCAGTATGGTAGGAGTCGTTACCAGGTTCTACACAGAAGAGTGACATGATTTCCACTTCTAAACTATCACCCAGACTGTTTTATGATGCTAGCTTACAGTGGGCAAGATTAGAGGCAGGAAGACATGTGAGGGTGGCTCCTGCATAGACCAGTCCAGAGGTAACAAAGCCTGACAAGGCTGCCGGAGAGAAGCTACAGAGGATCTAGAGCAATAAAACACAAGCACCATTGGCTCACATGCAAGAGCTGTGGGGAGTCAGTGAGTTTGCTATGGGGTAGAATTGATGGGCTTAATTACAATTGGCTAGGGAATGTGAATGATGATAGAATGATCAAGGGTGACTCCCTGACTTCTAGCTTGGACAGTTTCATGGATGGGATGCCATTTGCTAAGATGAAGACAAATGAGAAAGACATGAATATTTGAAGGAAAAAAATTAATCTGCACAACCCAAAAGATAGATAATATTTTTTCTCCATATTATAGATGAGAAAATACAACCTTCAAGAGGTTGTTAAAAGTCACATAGGTAAATAGAAAGCACCGTGGTGATATTAAATGCAGAGGGGTTGGCTCAAGGGCCTGCCCTCCCAACCGCTCCTGCAGTGGCTCTTCAGTACCACTCATGTCCTTTGCACTTCAAAAGAGACTTACTCATAGCAGCAAAACCCAATAACTTAAACATTTCAGGAGTAAAATTTATTGGTACTTGTGAGAAGTAAATAGGCTTTCTAGAGGAGGAGGGCTAACCTGGAAACTTGAAAAAAGGGGCTAATATGAATCCTTTTCTTGTGAATAATATTTTTCCAGTAGTATTTGAGCTACAGCACCAGTGATATCAATGTCAGTTTCCTCCCAGCCATCTCTTCTTCTAAGAGCGATAACATTGGCCAAAAGCACTGAGCTTCCCAATTCTCTATTAAAGAATTCCAGGAAAATACAAGCAAAGGCAAATGAAAAACACAAAACATCTGCTTTGTCATTAAGTTCAAGTGATGGTTTTCCTTAGGACTATCTTAATTTCATGGGAGCCAGTGCCTTTTTCCAATGTAATTCTTGGCTAGGACCTTTCCCCTAACAGGATATTAAACATGACAATCGCATCTGTCCTTCTACGATAATAGGAGCAAGGGAGAGGCTCAATCAATCACGAGTTCCCAGCACTGTGCTCTGAGAAACCCGGAGGATTATTGAAGGCTGCTCTGAAGATTACTGGCATTAACGTTGGTCAGGAAGAGATGGCTTATCTTGCTGATTGGAACCAAGTGCCTCTTGGCTTGCTGCTCAGAAGGGATTCTGTGTGACCTCACAGGTTGCCACTGACAGTTGCTTTCACTTGGCTGTGGGGGTGGCATTTGACATAAGAACACTGCAGAACAAGAGAACGTTAACAGCACAATTAATAAACCACATTATCTTTTAAAAATAGGGTCTATTTTTACATTTATTCCTGAGTTGCAAAAAGTTCCTCCTTTAAGATGTTGCTGTTTTCACTGATGAAAGACTAAAATTAAATCACCTGCTTCTCCAGAGGATACATTTCTTGTATTCTCATTGGCAATTTAGCCTGCCTCTCTGAGTTGTGACTGGGCAGCACCATGACAAAGAGCAATGCTTACATGTTCTTGCTGTGAAGTAAACCCTAGGGATTAGAGGGATTTAGTGGTAGTTAGCCCATTAAGGAGTCTCACATTTAGTAAATCCTGAGAATGCTAGACTTCAGCTCTTCATCCAGTTTTTGAAGCCTCACACTAAAGGCGTTCTTCAGAGTGGTGAATCCCAATCTTTCTGCAAAGAAATTAAGTTTGAATATCTGGGGGAATTTTCTGGCTCTGGAAATATTGTTTTGCCATCCTGTCCTGGAGCCAAAAATGCTGAAATAGGACTCATTTAAGTGTTTGTTGTGGATCTTGGTCATTTTTAGTTAAAATAAGTTCTTTAATTTTCTTTCTTTCTTTTCTCAGTAATTTTTAGAGACTTTATGGCCAAAGATAATTACATTTCTTAATTTGCTTCATTTTAAATTCATATCCAAGCTTTCAAAGAGATTGGTGTTCCTAAAATGGGTTTTGCCAGCTGTGCAGTCTGTGGGGCCCTTGTACCATCAGCCTGTTCTGTCCGGATGAGGCAGAGCAGAGAGAGAAGCCATATGGAGCTCACATGACGGCAGCTTGTCACAACCAGAGCAACAGCAGCCTTGAGCTGGCTGTGTTGCTGTGGTTTCTCTCAAGAGGCAGCAAGTGTACAGTAATAGCATGGTATGGAAAATAGGAAATACTAGTGACTCAGATGAGATACGTAGCAGGGCAACAAGGAGAAAGTGCACTGAAGATCCAATATAGGCTTCTTGACTGTGACAAGCATGGATATGGAAGTGGGACATAAATATCTCATGAATGGACCATCTGTTGGGGGAAATCCTTCCAACATGGTTGAGAGGATTATATTTTGAACACAAGACATCTTTTGTTAGGCTTCTCTCTGGAAGGCTCTGGCATATATTCACACAGACACAGTGACAAATGCAATCAAAGAGGCTGAGCCACAGCCATGAAGACATCATAGAACTACTTCTGGCTAAAGGGAAGAGCTCCCTGGATCCCACCTGCAAATGTGGATAAGATTGCCCTGTGTGGGGTCAGAGTGTGTGAGGGCAATAATTGGGGTTGGGTTTACACCTGGCATAAGTACAGAATTTCCAGTGTTAGAAAGCAGAGGGTGAAACCTTTCATTTGAAAAAACAATGTGTTTGGGGTAATGGATTTGAGAAATCTGCAGTCTGGAAAGTGATATGTGACATTGGCCTCAAAAGTTGTGAGCTTTATGTAAAAGTCTCTAAGTTCCTCTTTCTAAAGTCAGTTGCATCAATTAAATGCTAAAAATACCACTTTCTACCTAGAAGAGTCAACTGGAATGTGGATTTATGTTGAATAAATCCTGGCTTCACACTTCTTGTCCAACATTTTGGGAATACCAATTGACAAATCTCTCCTGATCACCTTGTTGACAGGAATCTGCAGAAAAAAGATATAATCTATGTAGGCCTTGATTTACTCCTAACTAGCAAGACACTCAAAACTGTTTCAAAACTGGTTTATCATAATTGTTCATTAGCAAAATTTAGCTAAAACTTTGGTCAAATTACTTCTTTATTACCTATTGTATAAACATTATTTTCTTATCTGTTGATCCAGATATTCAAGCAATTATCTCAAATGCATGGAGCAGTTCCGAAAACAAAGGGAAAAGTGACAGACTCAAAAAGAAACTCCAACCTCTGGGGACCCATTTGACTCTGGGCTTGCATATGAGGAATGCCCTCAATTTTGACCCTAAGTCATCAGATCAGCTCATAAAAAATCTGACTTCTTGGTAAGACTCATCATCTAATCAGAACCTGCTGTGTGTGCTAATGAGTGTGTAATCAACATAAAGCCAGTAGTAATTGGACATTCAGTCACATATATTTATGTGACAGGCACTGTTCTAAATGCTGGAGATTGAGTGATGACCAGGACATGATCCCTGCTCCCAACGAGCCCCATTTTATTGAAGGAGATAGAGTAAAGAGTCGTAGAAATATATTGTTCTAAGTGCTACATGAAACCTGAGATCAATTACTTTTCTTTCCAAAAGCCTGAGAAATCTGACACACTCCTGTGTTTTAGAATGCATGCAATACTGGTTGGGAGAGGAAAGAACATACAGAAAGGGTAAGCAGAAGGTGTTCTGATAGCCCCTAAGGTGGTTCCTAGCACTGTCTTAGATGGTCAGAAAAAGCTCTTAGAGGAACAGATCTCTAGTTAGAGACCTACAAGGAGCTAGCCAGAATTGGTAATCCCAGGTATCTCTGAAGTGATAAAGGTAGGACTCAAGTAAAAAAGATTTGGACAGAAGACTTTGAATCTCATTTTTTGTTTTGTTTGTTTGGGGGTTTTTTTGTTTGCTTTTTTTTGTTTTTTTTTGTTTTGTTTTTGGTGAGAGTGCAAACAGTGTCTCTGGACTTGAAAACACTAGGCCCAGTTCACACTGAGGATACTATAAACAAAAAGATTAAGTGAAAGGTTTCATACTGAATATTGAGACCTTCAACCTTCTTTTCCCACTAGGTTCCCAGAACACTGGCAGCCAATCATATTTCTTCCAAGAAGGAGATCAAAAGGTATTTGAGGACCCAGTCCACCGAAAGTACCTAAAGGTACTGAGATGTGGGTTCTCAAGGCCGCAGCTCATCCAGATCACCCTCCAGCGATGACCACACTCAACACAACACACCCATTTGCACAGAACTTCTAGAGCAATGAGGTCTCAGCAGAAAATAGGTGGTACACACTAAAAGGATTAACTGAAGAGACTTTAATGAAGGGATTACTTATATAAAGGTGGAAAAATTTAAAGGAATTTTTTAAAAATGGTGACCAATTCAGGGATGAGCATGAATGGGAAGACCTGAAAGAGCATGGGAGAGAATGTTACCACCAGAGTTCAGTCAGAGCTGCAGCTATGGAAGAGGGGTTGTTTCTGTCACAGCAATAGAACAGTGATTCTCAACCTGGGGCAATTTTCCCCATATGAGACATTGGCAATGTCTAGAAATATTTTTAGTTATCAATACACTGGGGAAAGAAGATGCTACTGGAATCTAGAAGATACAAACCAGAGATGCCACTAAACTCCCTACTATGCATAGTACAGACCCTATAACAAAGAACTCTCCATCTCTAAATATCAATAGGACTGAGGTTAAGAAACCCTGAAATGGAGGAAGAGAGCCACTGGCTGAACAATGACTGGGTAGAGAGTAAGGGAGAATTGATGACTCCGTCTCCCTGTCCGGCTATATTTTGATTTCTTGCCAGTGCCTCCATTGGTTGAACCTAACAGGAAGCCACAGAGCTATGTATCCCAGATGATGTGGTTCATAGCACTCAGCCTCTGGGGCATTGACAGGGTGGAGAATGAGTCTGGAGAGACATGTGGAGAATAACCACATAGACTTCGATTCACTTTTAAGTGCTAAAACTTGAAAATGAGCAGAGAGGCAAGGCTGGAAAATAAACAAAAAAACACTCAATATTCTGAGCGATGAGAGAATATGCATCAACCCAAGAATATAATTAAAAATACTGAAAAAAAGGAAAATTCAGGGAAGAAAAACGCTTGGAAATTACAAGTGTAACAGCAAAAATGAAAACTTTAAATGAGTGGTTTTATTTGGGGCCTGAAAACCAGTGAAATGTTAATTTTTGTCTAGGTTGATGGGGAGCAAAACATACAGCACACAGAACACATTAGACTCGGAATTCAGGAGACAGAGGGGCCACAAGAACATAATCCCTCCAAATTAACAAAATACAGTGGGAAAACTTTGGATCAATTCAAACCATTCAATTGGAGGATGGAAGCAATTTTATCTTGTTCAAGTCCACTGTGGCCTCACTTCATAATTGAGTAATGTATATCCTTGTGTTACACAGTTTTGTTTACTTGTTTTGCCTCTAAGTCTTATCAAAGTGCATAGTTAGGCTCCTTAAGCAGAGGGCTAAATTACATTTTTCTTTTGATTTTGATGTATCTGGCAACGTCCTGACAGCTGGCATAAAAGGAAGGAAAAAATTCTCTCTTTGAGAACCTCATGAACTTACTGAGCGAGATAATGACTGGACAAGTTGGAAATCCTCATCCCCTGGGCTAGGAACTTCAAATCACTGAGAAGGAAAAACAGGCCCTTAGCTTCCCAAGTGGGGACGGAGTTGAGTTAAACAGTTGCCCTCACTCAGATTGTCTCTTTATTGGGCTTACGGAACACATATCCGTTTCTTAAGGAGATAGAGCTATACAAAACACACTGATCAAGATAATGAAAAGACAAGCTGCAGACTGGGTAAAAATATTTACAAAAGACATATCTAGTGGCACTGCTGGTGTAGTAGTATCATGCAAGATCCCCCCTCACAAAAGACATATCTGATAAAGGATTATAATCTAAAACATACAAAGAACTCTTAAAACTCAACAAGAACATAGGCCAGGTGTGGTGGCTCACGCCTGTAATCCCAGCACTTTGGGAGGCTGAGGCGGGCAGATCACCTGAGGTCGGGAGTTCCAGACCAGCTTGACCAACATGAGTAGAGACACCTCATCTCTACTAAAAATACAAAATTAGCCGGGTGTGGTGGTGCATACCTGTAATCCCAGCTACTCAGGAGGCTGAGGCAGGAGAATCGCTTGAACCCAGGGGGCAGAGATTGTGGTGAGCCGAGGTTGCACCATTGCACTCCAGCCTGGGCAATGAGAGTGAAACTCCATCTCAAAACAAAAAACAAACAAACAAAAAAACTCAACAAGAACATGAACAACCTAATTTTTTTAAATGTGCAAAAGACCTGAATGGACACCTCACCAAAGGAAATATACAGATGGGAAATATGCATATGAAGAGATGTTTAACATCATACATCATTAGGGAATTACACATTAAAACAACGAGATAACATTAAACACCTATTATGATGGCCAAAATCCAAAACACTGACAACACCAAATGCTGGTGATGATATATAGTAAGAGGAACTCTCATTCACTGCTGGCAGAAATGCAAACTGGAATAGCCATTTTGGAAGACAATTTTGCAATTTCTTACAAAACAAATGCACTAATGCCTCAAATAGAGCTATGTCACTGAAAGTCTACTAAATATGTAGGACATAGTTTTGCTCTGGTGTGTATGTTTGAAAACATGTATCACATGATTTGAGGGGGACTTATTCTTCCACACTTTTAACACAAAAATTGTTGACATCGAATCAGAGATCAACTATGATGTCCACAGTAGGAGATAGCAGGAAGAGGTTTTACAGGGGCAGTCACCACCCACAGTCGCTCAGCAGTAAGGAGACAGGCCTACAAGAGTGAGGGTTTACTGGATGCCTCCAGTTGAAGAGGTGAGTTAGCAGGACTGCTGCCTACAGTTGGGCCAGTTGGGCTGAAATCCAGCTCTAGTTTCATTTTTGAATTCTTCTAGGCAGACTGCATCTGCCTAGAGGAAGGGTACCTTTTCCTAATTTGCGCCAAGATGTCAAATGAGATAGAAGAGACACTGGTGGTTTCATGATCTTTCATGTGTACCTTTCAATCAGAATTAAGGGATCTGGGGGCTGTATACGAGTAGTTTTGCTGGTGGGACAATGTCTTAGTTCATCTTCTGTTGCTTATGGCAAAATGTCTGAAATTAGGTGATTTATAAAGAACAAAAGTTCTTACAGTTATGGAGGCTAAGAAGTCCAAGGTCAAAGGGCCGCATCTGGTGAGGGTTTTCTTGCTGGTGGGGACTCTGCAGAATTCTGAGTCAGTGCAGGGCATCCCATGGTGAGGAGGATGAGTGTGCTAGCCCAGGTCTCTTTTCTTGTTGTTATAAATCCACCAGTCCCATTCCCATGTTAACCAATCAATCCATTAATCCATGAATGAATTAGTCTATTCATGAGGGCAAAGTCCTCTTGACCTGATTACCTCTTAAAGGCCCTCACCTCTCAATACTGCCACAATCAGGGATTAAGTTTCAACATGAGTTTTGAAGGGGACAAATATTCAAAGCATGACAGTGGTAGATCCATTGCTGTAGTTATAGACATTTCAGGTTTGCTAGCTATTACTATTCCCCCAGTTTAAGCCCAGACTGAGGAGGCCTGGGTAAATGTAGGTCACGTACATAGATTTTCATTTAGTTAAAAGTTTTTATTTGTACTTTTACAAAATCATTTTAATATATAAAAAACTTAGTGTTTTTTAGTGTACAGTTAATTTAAGGTGACTTTTAGACAGGAAGGTACATTTTTATTTCCTCTCCTTAGTCCCCCTGTCTTTTCTTTCTCCAATAGTATCCTGACATTACTATATGTGGGACGTTATTTAACCTGCCTTTAAGAACATGTATAATTTGGTTCTGAAGTGTGGAACAATACACTTTATTTAAAATGTTCAGGACATTATGTAGCTCTAGAGGAGAGAAAAATAGATTTTTTAAAAAAGCAAAGGAGCTAAATACAGCAATTACTTCCAATGACATTACATGCTGCCTATTCAGAGTGTTTTTCAAGAAACACATACATTAAATGTTATGTGTTAAACAGACCCCTGTTCAATATGAAAATGATTAGGGCATAAACATTTCATAAGAGGAAGTTATGATTGAGGACTGAGAATGATATCTCCTGACTTGCTCTGTGGAACAGATAATCAAGTTGTCTTTCAATGACTGAACCTGCAGTGAATGTTTTACTTGGGAAATAAATGAAATTGATTATATATTCTAGACAAAAAAAAAAACACGCTGTAATTACTTTCAATTTCCTCATAAATGTTTTTCCACTAGCAGAGATTTTTAAAATTGTTAGAAATTACAAGAGGATGGGAGCAAGAGTGTTTTAATCATAGGAATTAAGAGCAGAAAAGACCTATTGGGTTGGTCCATCCTTCTTCTTGCCAAGAAGGTACCACATTTATTCTGCTCAGTCCAACCTATAGAATTTAAGTGATGGCCTCCACCACTTTTTTTAAGGCAGTCTTGCACTGATTTCTTTACTGGGTTTCAGAAGATAATGGGAGCTTTAACCAAACTTGCAAATCAATTTCTAAAACTGCCAGTCTTCAAGACAACTCTCTGGCCTGAAAATCATTTTGAGCCAATCCTGTTTGCAGTGCTGATCCCTCTTCATTATCTGCCTTTTTTCATTACCCTCTCTGTCACTAGACCAAAATACAAGTTTCTCTTTCTGCCAAACACTCCCCATAGAATGAGGCAAACCTGGGCAGTCCTATGGCAAGACTGAACTATATACTCGGGTGCTGCTTTCCCCTCTTCACCCCAAGAATGCTTCCCCTCCTTTCAACAGATGACCTACATGAGACTGCTCAGGCCACTGGGCTTCTGTTTCTTAGCCCCTCACTGCTCTGTCCATCTCCCTCCTGGAACCTGCCATTCTGCATGTCATTACTAACTTCCCTCTAAACATTTCCACTGAATGCTTTGGAAACAAATTCTTGGTACCCTCAAATGTCTCCTGTAAAGTCTCCTCTTTCTTTTTAACCTGATTCTCAATTTTGGTCATTTGTATTCCACCTCCATAATTTTTGCTATATCTGTATGCCATTTGTTTGGGTAAATATGGGCTTTCTATTTCAGCTGGGAAACTGACAAGAAGAGGTACATTTTAGCAAATGGAATAAAGCAACAAGTGCCAGGTACTTACATCTCAAAGTAAAGTGCTACCCAAGACATAATAGGATATTTTGAAACTAGATCATTTTTAGTCTTCATCTTCTTCAAGGGTATGAATGGATTGACCATATAGGGCAAGAGAAATTTTCTTCCCTTAGCCTCCGTAGGAGGGATAGGTAGAACAAGATGGAAGATATACTATCAGAAGCAGAAACTGGCGTTCAGCTTTGTGAGTTGCCAGAGAAGGGACCTTCCCCTTATTAAAGAACTCATAGCCACATCTTCCTTTTTGAGGGAACTTTAGGGAAATACTTAACACCTCTCACTGGGAATCTGCCAGATCCACAGGGCACAGATGCAGATTTCATTTGTGGCATTCTACTCCTATTCTCCACTCCCCATGTGCTTCCCCCCAAAATCTGAGAGGAGTCAAAGGTGGCGTGGGATAGGAGGAGGGGAGGAGCTGCCCCAGCAGTTGCAGGGAGGATAGGGAGGCCGGCCTTTCCTCTTCCCCACTTTAGACACCCCAGTCTGAAGCAGCACCAAGATGACAGGGAGAAAGGTTTCCCTTTGAAGCAAGTTTGGAGTTTTGGTAATTAAGCTGTACTGGTACCCTTAATTATTGAACTGACCCTGTTTTTTGGACTGTAAGGGACAGAAAGTCTTTGCATTTTGCAACAGTGTCCAGAAAATGATATGGATTGGCCCAACAGCAGGAGGTCTACAGATTGAGTATAAAAGAATAACTGGGTTGGGGGCAGAAGAGAGAAATGTTTTCGTCTTTCACTCTATGATATCACACTCTTTCCTCATCTCACACTGTTAGCATTTGTGAGGCTCTCTAGAGATCCTTTAAGGCTTATTATCCAGGGCTACATATATACACAGGGCTCATCAAATACCCAGTAGTGAAAAAAAGAGCCAAAATGCTCCAATGTCAAAACCATTCTGGAGGCACAAGAACATTCTATCAATTGGCTGTGTTTAAAGATTCAGAGCTCTGAGTGGAATCTTATCCATGAACATGAACTTAATGGTTTTTCTTAAATTATTTTTAATCAGTTTTTTGAGCTATAGTTTATATAAAGTGTATCCCTTTTAGGAGTACAGTTCTATGAATCTCAAAAAATGTACACATTTATTTAATTACTACCACAATTGAATTATAGAATATTTCTATTAGCCTGAAAACTTTGTATCCTTTTCAATCGATCCCTACTCTCCCCCACCACCAACTCCTGTTTTGGCCTTTCCCATAGCGTCATATAAGTGGAATAACACAATGTATAGTATTTTCTTCCTGGCTTATTTTATGTAGTATAAAGTTTGAAGACTCATCCTCATTGTGTGTATTAATAGTCTCTTTTTATTACTGAGTAGGATTTCATTGTATGTTTATACCATCATCTGTTTATCCATTCATTAGTAAACTGATATTTGGATTATTTCATTTTCTGGAGATTATAAATAAAACAGTTCACCTTAAAATCTTAAAATTTTCTTTAGTTTTGTCTTGAACAGTAGGTTTGGAATGTTAATTACATATATATTTATATATATATTTAGGGAGAAAGAGACATTAATACAAATACATAACTATGAATATGAAGCCTTTTGTCTTTGTACACTGGGATAAAGGAAATAACATTCTTGTTGGAGGAAATGGGCATCTATGGGTAAAAATAAGGTGGCCTGAAATACTTGTTTTAAAAAGAGAAAATATATTTGAAAAGCAAATGAACCCATACAAATACAAATGAGCCAAGTACAAGTAACTAATTAAGAAATATTTTTCCCGCAATTTACCTTTGTCATCTTTATTTTTATCAATGTCTTATGGTGAATTACCTCTAGAACTACTGTGAATTATCAAAAACCACGATATGAAAAGTATGTGAAGAAAACTGTTTCTTTAGAGGCTGATGACCAAATTCTCAAGTATTTGTGTTCAATTTCTAAGTTATTAGGAGTTTGCCCTCTAATCATCAGAATACAAGAAATTATCATTCCATTTGAGTGGGAACTTTTATTATTTCTTAAGACTCAACATTCATCTTTCAGATAAATACAATAACTTTTTCAGTTTTGCTTTGAAAAAGAGAAAAGGATTGGAAATGACCAGCTATCAATTTTATTGGTATTGAAAAGGCTGAGGTGATGGCCTAAATTTGGATTATGTAAAAACAATGGACTTCTAACAAGGGCAGAGGAAATCGAATGAGGAAAAATGTGCTCAGCTATGAGCTCTGCAACCTAGTGATACAGAAAGGGGTAAGGGAAATGCTGTGTAGAGGAGGGCATGGTCCCTGGCTAGGACACCACCCCTGGGCCTGCGCCCACAGACCTAGGTGAGGACAGGTATTTTTTTTTCCTGCCCAAATGTTTCATTTTCCAAGACCACCCTGGCCTGTCACGCCCCCATCCTGTGCCTACAAAAACCCTGAGACCCTAACAGGCAGACACACAAGCGGCTGGACATTGAGAGGAACACATCAGCAAAGGACAGATGTAGGCACACTGGCAGGCCATCAACCAGGTGCAGGGCGGGAACAAGGTGCAGTTTGGCTCATGCGGTTGGAAGAGAGCCCTGGCTGCTGAGTGGCCTGACTCCCGGGGAAAACCATCTCCCTTCTGGCTCCCGCATCTGCTGAGAGCTACTTCCACTGAATAAAACCTTGCACTCATTCTCCAAGCCTACGTATGATCCGATTCTTCCGGTACACAAAGGCAAGAGCGCCAGGATACAGAAAGGCCTCTGTTCTGGTGGTAAGGCCGGGGTCTAATTGAGCTAACACAAGCCACCTAGGAATAGCTAAACTAAAAGAGCACCCTGTAACACACGCCCACAGGGGCTTCAGCTGTAAATATTCACGCCTAGACACTGCCATGGGGTCAGAGCCCCACAGCCTGCCTGTATACTCCCCTAGAAGTTTGAAGAGTGGGGCACTCAAGAAGTAAGCCGCAATCCCATCACATGCCCTGCGAGAGGGACAAGGGAAATTTTCCTGTTTCACTCTGCTTTAAAATAAATTCATCATTACCAATCTCTGAACAATTAATGGGAGATGAAAGAATAACATTCTGGAAAATAGGTGCCAAGGAACAAGTAATAACACAAAGGAGAGGACTTCATCATGTCAATCAAAAATAGTTGGGCTGGGCATGGTGGCTCACGCCTGTAATCCCAGCAGTTTGGGAGGCTGAGGTGGGTGGATAACCTGAGGTCCGGAGTTTGAGACCAGCCTGGCCAACATGGTGAAACACTGTCCCTACGAAAAATACAAAATTATCCAGATGTGGTGGTGCATGCCTGTAATCCTAGATACTTGTGAGGTTGAAGCAGGAGAATCACTTGAATCCGGGAGGTGAAGGTTACAGTGAGCCAAGATAGTGCCACTGCACTCCAGCCTGGGCAACAAGAGTGAAACTACATCTCAAAAAAAAAAAAAAAAAAAAAGTATTGGGCAAATGACGTATTTGTGGCTTGAGAGAACAAGCATCCTCTAAATTCCAGATAATCAGTTTACAATTAAAATCTTAGAGCACAACTTATATGTGTAAGTTGGGGAGTGTCTACATTTTAATAAAATTATTTTTGTCTCTCTATTCTTCTCATCCATATACCAAATAACATGCTTCTTCCATGTAATTTATAGATTTTGTAAAAGAAGTTTAACTCTCAAAAAGCAGAGCATCTCATTAAATATCTACTTAAGAAATTAAATAATAAATACACATAATTAAAACTAAATAATACACATAATTTTCAAGCACATGGAACATTTGTGAAAACTGATCTCAGAAAGGAAGTCTTCATCCATTTCAAATAAACAGAATACTTTCCCTTACCTTAGCGCACTAAACAAATGATATTAAAGTTGCCCTAAAAAGACATTTTTTGCTTCAAAAAGACCAAAAACTTTAAAACAAAAAAGAAAACAAAAAGGGGGGAGAAGGGGAGTAAGATCTTCATGAATAAGCTTTTATATAGCTTTACTAAAGGAATAAGAGAACACTTTAGTATTAATGGGCAATGTGATATGTATGTTAATAGAATGGCTGGTATTGTAAAGATGTTGATTTTCCTCACATCTGCAACATGTACAAGCGGCTAGAGTTTAGAATCCAAAATAGTCAAAGAACTCCTATTAACAACCACAAAAAAAGACAACCTGGTAGAAAAATAAGCAGATAATATGAATAGACAAGTTAGAAAAGATAAAATGCAAATGACCAATAAACATTTAAAAGGAAATCAATTTCACCAGTAATCAGAAAAATTCTAATTACAATAAAGAGATTGTATTAGTCTGTATTCACACTGCTGATAAAGACATACCTGAGACTGGGAAGAAAAAGAGGTTTAATTAGACTTACAGTTCCACATGGCTGGGGAGGCATCAGAATCATGGCAGGAGGTGAAAGGCACTTCTTACGTGCTGGCAGTAAGAGAATATGAGGAAGAAGCAAAAGTGGAAACTCCTGATAAACCCATCATATCTCATGAGACTTATTCACTATTCCCAGAATACCATGGGAAAGATTACCCCTATTATTCAATTACCTCCCCCTGGGTCCCTCCCACAACACAGGGGAATTCTGGGAGATACAATTCAAGATGAGATTTGGGTGGGGACACAGCCAAACCATATGAGAGATGTTATTATCTTTTCATCCTTTTAAATAACAAAAACATTAAAACATCAGACAATATCAAATACTGGAAAGATTGTTAGGAAGTGGATATAATATTGTTGCAGCCCCCCTTAGGAGCAATTTGGCAATATCAGTTAATAAACCTGAAAAACAGGTTTGACTGATTACTGTCTTCCTTAAGCCAGCCATAGGACAACAATAATCATGACAGCTTACATGCCTGGAGTGCCTACTTAGTAAAGGTGACTATTCTAAGACCTTTTTGTATATGAATTCATCCGATTCCCATAACAACTGTGTGGTGTAGAAGCTATTGTTATTCTCACTTTTTGGGTGGGGAAACTGAGGTGCAGACAGATGAAAACCTTGGCCAAGGTCACCTGGCAGAACCAGTCTTTGACATGCGGCTGTCTGGCTCCTGAGCCTGATTTCAACCACTCACCACATGCTGCCTTTCTAGGACAACACTATCTCATGTACACAAAGTTATGAGGGCCAACATATTTTACAGCAGTGAGCAAAATTGGAAGCAAAATAAATGTCTTCGAAGAGGGTATTAGAAAAATGAAATAGGTCTGAATACTGTTTGTGATTAAAGGATGAATTAATACATGGACAGATCTAAAAAAAAATAGTATGATAAGAAAGGGTTTTTTTTTAATACAACTTATAAAAAAGCTGTCTGCCTAATGGAAACTTGGGGTGGGGGAAGGTATGGCCAAGTTACCATGAAGTTTGTAATGAAATATTTTACTTTTAAAATAACATTTTACTTTTTCAAGGTAAATTTTCAATGGAAAGTTTTAAACAATATTTTACTTTTCTAAAATAAACTTTTGATGGAATAATACATATCTTAATCTATCAATAAAAGAACCAAACAGATGCAAACCAAATAGGATTAGTAAAACTGAAGGGAGAAACCATTTTAACCACTAATGTATGTATTTGAAAAAAGGAAAATTCACATATTACGCATGTAATTTTAAAAAACATTAACATAAGGTGAGAATTAATTCAAATACTTATAATTTATTCTGTGTTATTGGATTATAGGTGATGATTATGTGCTTCCTTATTCTGTGATTTTCGAATTTCCAAATACAAAAAGAAATACAACCCAAATAAGAAAGAATAAGCAGGAAAAGGAAGAAACAAAGGAAAGAATGTAAGGGAAAAAAGTACAAAAAATGATGGCTTATATTTTCAAAGCTCACATCTGTTGGGTTTCAGGATGTGCACACACTGGAGGAATACAAAAGAGGAGAATATCATAAAGGTTCTGGTATTAGGAAAATTGGTACCAAGAATGTACCTGGCATGGCATTAAACAGATATGTTTAAGACAACAAAGTCAGTCTGGTGGTTTGCCTTTCTATTTAGTGTGTGTGTGTTTTCTATATTGGAAAAGGAAGAGCAAAGAAGAAATATGCTTAGTGTATAGAATCTAGTATGATATTCACAGGAAACAGAAATAAAGTTGAGCTTTTGAAACTCCAGTTAAAGTTGCATAAAAAAATCTGGAAGTCATAATTAATGCGTAATGTGTCAGGATCAAAATTTGCAAATATCTTGACAAGCTGGAAACCAACAAAATACAATTTATCAAGGATGATTCATTCACTTTGTTGTGTGTGGGGGTGGGTGGGGCATATTTATGTGCTCTGTGGAGGTTACAAAGATAAATGAGAAGTAGTCACTGCCAGGGATGATATAAAAATATTTAGCCTCTAGTATGACAATAGCATTAAGCAATCAGAAAGAAGGCAAAAAACCAACAAGTACTCCCATCCCCATCACGGCCCTCACCCTTAAGAAGCTGGGTAATGTAATAGGACAATAAGAAAATGTATTCACTGCCATGCAATGCAGAACGTCATTGTCACAGAATACTATAAAGGGCTGGGTGTGTGTATTTGTGTGTGTGTGTGTGTGTGTGTGCATGTGCTCATGCTGGGTAAGTTTGAGTATGGAGGAGATGAACCTCAAAGAAGGGATGAAACATCAAGAGACGGAGAAAAGGACATTCCAAAGAGAAAGGACAGCCTGAGAAAAAGTGTGAAGGCAAGAAATTATGGGAATCTTTACCAGAGAATCCAGAATAGATAGCCCAAGGTGGCAGGAAAACGGGTGTATAAAAAACATACATCAGGATTTTGCCTAGATCATGTAAAGTCTGCAAAACAAGCAAATGTGTTTGAATTTAATTATTTAGGTAATAGTGAGTCACTGAAGGTTTCTTGATTTAAAACGAGCAACCAGGCCGGGCGCGGTGGCTCATGCCTGTAAGCCCAGCACTTTGGGAGGCCAAGGCAGCTGGATCACGAGGTCAGGAGATCGAGACCATCCTGGCTAACATGGTAAAACCCCGTCTCTACTAAAAAATACAAAAAATTAGCCGGGTATGGTGGCAGGCGCCTGTAGTCCCAGCTACTCGGGAGGCTGAGGCAGGAGAATGGCGCGAACCCGGGGGGCGGAGCTTGCAGTGAGCCGAGATCGCGACACTGCACTCCAGCCTGGGCGACAGAGCGAAACTCCGTCTCAAAAAAATAAAAAATAAATAAATAAAACGAGCAACCTAACTAGAACCATCAGACAAGTGAAAGTATTCCATCTTGAGCTATCCTCATTATCTCCTTTTGTGCTAGACAGAATAATGACCCCCCAAGGCATCTGTGCGCTAGTTTTCAGAACCTGTGAATATGTTACCTTTGCAGATGCGGGTAAGGTCAAGGGCCTTCTGAAGGGGAGATAGTCCTGGATCATCAGGGTGGGTCCAGTATAATTACCCGAGTTTCTCAAAGCAGAGAACCTTTCCCGTCTGTCAGAGAGAGATACAATTTGAGAAGGACTCCTTCTTTATTGCTGGCTTTGAAAATGAGGATGGGAATCATGAATTAAGAAATGAAGTGACCTCCAGAACTGGGAACAGTCCTCAGTGGACTATACACTTGAAAAGGGGGATCTCAGTCCTGAAACTGCAAGGAATTGAATTATGCCAACCACTCGATGAGCAGGAAACAGATTCTCCCCTAGAGCTGCCATAAGGAAATGCAGCCCTAGGCAACGTAATGGTATCCTGGTGAAATCTGTACTGGACTTCTGACCTACAGAACTGTAAGATAGTAAAAGTGTGTTTATGATGCAAAGTTTGTGGTAATTTGTTATAGCAGAAATAGAAAACTAATACTTGTATATTTTAGGCACTTTGGTTCTTTCAATTCTTCCAATGAATCATACACCCTCCTGCCCCAGAGTCTTTGCATGCATTTTTGTATCTAACGGGTATACCTTGTCTCAGATCCCACCACCTCCACAGCCTTTGCGAAGAAGGTTTCTCTCTCTCTGTGCTTTACGATTGCTACTTTCTCAGAAAAGCCTCCATCAAATCTGAATTCCCACTGTGGCGTTGTATCTCAAAGTCTCAAAGTCTCTTGCTCACTCATTGCAGATGTTCAGTAAATATCTGCATAAGAAAGTAGAATTTGCCAGCAATGGTGTACCTCCAAGTGTTCATTTGCTCACACAAGGTAGTATCCACCAGATTGCTCCTTTGTAAAAGAACTTTTTTATGTCTCTAATTAATAAGTATTCTGTGTGGCAATAATTTGGGACCCTGTGAATGTCTTCTCTCCTAATATTTGACTCAATTGTTTTAGAAGTCATTAATGATCCTTGCTATATTTATTGATATAATTGGACACAAAATTGTAATATTCTACTCTAACTTTTCTTCTATTTATTAGCTGATATTCTGTTAAGAAGAGTATTCTTTCCTCGGCCTTCAATATTGCTACGGACATATATATATGTATATATGCACATATACACATATAGCTATATATATATCTGTATGTATATGTGTGTGTATATCCATATGGCTATAAATGCCATACATATATATATATAGCTGTATGTATATGTGTGTATATCCATATGGCTATAATGCCATATGGCTATATGGATATACACACATGTGTATACATACATATACACACATATGCATGTATATATGTATATTTACACACACATATGTAATAGTTTTTTCCCCCTGAATGTGATTTAATTGTTGTCATTACTCTGATGCTTGTCTCTAGTTTGGCCAGAGCTGGCCCCTTCAAGCCAACTGCTGTGTCCTTTTCATAATATCATGTTAGACTTTGGTTACTTTCTTGCTTCCTGGCACAAATTTTTCCAAGCTCACCTATTTTCTCTGCCTCAGACCTAGAATCATGGAAACTAAAAGGACAAAAAGTGACAATTATCTTATAGAAAGAAATTTACTACAAAAACACAAACTATTTTTGTCCTTATACTGAGTATGGTATAAAATACTTGAGGAAAGTAGGCTTAAAACTGCTTAATAAAAAATTTATATTGAGAAATAAATCTTTACATTTGTATTGAGAAATAAATCTGTACATCAGAAATAAATCTGTACATTTACAGTGAACTCATCCTTGACAAAAGTACCAAAAAACATACATTGTGGAAAAGACACTCTCTTCTATAAATAGTGCTGGGAAAACTGGATCTCTATATGCCAAAGAAAGAAACTAGACCCTATCTCTGGCCATTTACAAAAACAAAATAAAAATGGATTAAAGACTTAAACCTATGACCTGAAACTGTGAAACTACTAGAGGAGCATTGGAAAAACACTGTAGGATATTGGTCTTGGCAAAGATTTCTTGAATAAGATCTCAAAAGCATAGTCAACCAATGCAAAAATGGACAAATGAGATTAGATGAAGCTAAAAAAAAAATATGCACAGCAAAGGAAACAACAAAGTGAAGAGGCAATCTATAGAATGCAAGAAAACATTTGCAAGCTACCCATCTGGCATGAGATTAATAACAAGAATATATAAAAAGTACAAATAACTTAGGAAAAAAATAATCTGTTTTTAAAATGGGCAAAAGATCTGAATAGACATTTCTCAAAAGAAGACATACAAATGGCCAACAGGTATATGAAAAAATGCTCATCATCACTAATCAGAGAAATGCAAATTAAAACTACAATGAGATAGCATCTCACCCCAGTTAAAATGGCTTTTATGCAAAAGACAGACAATAACAAATACTGGCGAGGATGTAGAGAAAGGGGAGACCTTGTACACTATTGGTGTGAATGTAAATTAGTACAATTGCTAGGGAGAACAGTCCAAAAAACTAAAAATAGAACTACCATATGGGCTAGCAATCTCACTACTGGGTATATATCTAAAAGAAAGGAAATCAGTATATCAAAGAGATGTCTTCACTATCATGTATATTGCAGCACTATTCACAGTAGCCTAAATAAGGAATCAACCTAAATGTCTGATATGGTTTAGATGTGTCCCCACCCAAATCTCATCAACAATTGTAATCCAAATTGTAATCCACATGTGTTGAGGGAAAGACCTGGTGGGAGGTGATTGGATCATGGGGGCGGTTTTCACCATGCTGTTCTCATGAAAGTGAGTTCTCATGAGATCCCATAGTGTTATAAGAGGCAGTTTCCCCTGCTCTCTCTCACCTTCTGCCATTAAGACATACTTGATTCCCCTTTGCTTTCCACCATGATTGTAAGTTTCCTGAGGCCTCCTAGCCATGCTTCCTGTTAAGCCTGCAGAACTGTGAGTCAATTAAACCTCTTTCCTTTTTAAATTACCCAGTCTCAGGTAGTATTTTTAATAGCAGTATGAAATGGACTAATACAATGTCCATCAGTGAATTGATAAAGAAAATGTGGTACATACATACATTAATCATCCATAAAAAGAATGAAATCCTGTTATTTGCAACAACATGGATATAACTAAAAGACACTGTGTTAAGTGAAATAAGCTAGACACGGAAAGATAAATATTGCATGCTCTCACTAATATGTAAGAGCTAAAAAACAATTGAACTCATGGAGATGGAGAGCAGAATGATGGTACCAGAGGGGTACCATGAGAAGGGGAGCCGGGAGGTTGGGGTAAAGAGTAGATGGTTAATGGGTACAAAAATACAGTTAGATTTTAAAAGGAGTAAGATTTAGTGTTCTGTAGCACAGTAAGGTGACTATAGTTAATAATTTCTTATGTATTTCAAAATAACTAAAAGAGTGAAATTGGAATGTTCCTAACACAAAGAAATAAGTGTTGAGGTGACAGATACTTCAATTACCCTGATTTGATCATTATGCATTATATGCTTGTATCAAAATATCTCATGTACACCATAAATATGTGTAAATATGATATATCGAAAATAATTAAACACTTAAAAAAATTTAAAGAAATCATTGAAACACCAGAAAAATGGCTCAATAACAGATGGACAATGTGAAATTGAATGAAACTCTGGCTCCACAAAGTTTGCATAAAACTTAAAGTTTCCCTCAAATACTTATTTGAAATCAGTAGCAAACTTGAAAGTGCATCAGAATCATTGGAAGAGCTTGTTAAATAGATTGCTGAGCCCCACCTCCAGGCTTCTCATCCAGTAGGTTTGAGTTGGGGCCTGAGAATTTGCATTTCTAACAAGTTCATAGGTGTTGTTGATGCTGCTGGTCTGGGAATCTTTGAGAACTATATGTTACAGAAGTTATCCCATTTGATTCTTTTGTTTTTCCCTGATATGTCCTTTCCCTGATGTGTAGTCTGTACATCACTGAATTTCAGTCATATTATTCCTAGTACCTACATACTTGTCTGGATAATTATATATTTGTGAGCAGGGAAAACCAGATTGGGGAGGGTGGTGGATTGGGGTAAGAAGCTGGGATTTGTTCATCTGCTGGCCATCAGGGGGAGTGCTGGTCAAGTTTTCTGCTAGAATCCTCTTAGAAGTTGTTAGCTCTTTCTAGGACTCTACATTATTCTTCTCTAATAGGTCCTCACCATCCACTAAATAAATGCGGTAAAAAAGCTTCTATCTTGAAAAAGAAACCACCTCTGGCCCCACATGATTTTGTTCTTTTTTTTCTCCTTTATAGCAAAATAGCTAGAAATATTTGACTTCCTGTCTTCACTTCCGGACTTCCCTTCCCATCTCTACCTTCTCTTGCACTGGGTCACCACCACCTCCATGTCGCCAACTCTATGGCTCATTCCTGGTTATCATCTTACTTGCCCTCCCAGCAGCGTTTGATATGAGTGATTTCCACCCTCATATGTTTCTCTTCTTTGCTTGCTCTCCTCCCCTTCTAACTTCTTGTTTGCTGCATCCATCTCCTTCAGTGCTCCGAAATACCCTAGTTTCTGATATGGAATATCTACTGTTCTCCATGTATATGAACTTCCAGGTGATCTCATCTGGCTTTAAATATCATTGCCATACCACACCATGAATACAATTTGATGATGGCTTCCCCACCCCACCTACTCTCTACTCTTGGCCTAATCTGCCTGATGTGTTATTTACAATCTGATGTACCTAGCATCTCTGCAAAATGCACCTTAATTCTTGTCTAAACTTCTACAGTCTCTCTGACAACTCTTGTATTCCTTCCTCCTGACTTCTCTTTAAAACTCAATAATGAAATATCTTTTTACTTGTATCTTTTCATTTCTTTCCTTCACAAGTGACCCTGTGACTGAATACTTTATTTTTATCTTTTTTTTTTTTTTTAGATGGATGGAGTCTAAACTCACTCTGTCACCCAGGCTGGAGTGCAGTGGCGCTATCTCTGCTCACTGCAACCTCTGCCTCCCAAGTTCAAGGGATTCTCCTGCCTCAGCCTCCCAAGTGGCTAGGATTACAGAAATGCACCACCACGGCCGGCTAATTTTTGTCTTTTTAGCAGAGGTGGGGTTTCACCATGTTGGCCAGGCTGGTCTCAAACTCCTGACCTCAAGTGATCCACCCGCCTCAGACTCCCAAATTGCTGGGATCACAGGCGTGAGCCACTGTGCCCAGCCTGTGACGGAATACTTTAATTTATCCACATGCCTAAGCACATTTTCTATAATTACTCCCAGTTCTTCTCATTGCTTATTCTCTAAATCTCTTTGAGATAAACCATATATAACAAAGAACATAATTTTGTATGGAGTGAAGATAATTTTTAAATATGAAGCAAACAGCAATAAGAGAATCTCTTTAGCAATAAAAAGAATTTCTATGTGTATATACATATGCATTTGTATGTATATATAAATATATGTGTGTGTATATATACATTTGAAAGCCAGAATAGTCAATGCAGTCTTCACTTTGAAAGATTTTTATCCTAAAATTTGAGAGTCCAGGTTTGATGCTTTAAAACTCAATTCGATATGCCTCTTTTAAAAGATTCATCTTTTTACATAAAACTGGGATTATGTATATGTGCATGAAAAATGAATGAACATCAAAGTCTATTCAAAATGTTCAAAGTAAGAGCTTTTTCAGATTACACTCATAGAAGTTTCTAGGCTTTATAGTTCCATTGAGGCTCTAGATAAATTATCTTAATTGAATCTAAGTTTGTAGCATTGATCCACACACACTGGCCTGCAGTGACACTAGTGAAATTTTCTATGTGAAATCAGTCAAGAAATATTTGCCAAATATCCTTTGGTCAGTGTGCAACTGCAGCGATTAAGGGACCCATTTGTTTTTCTTCCTTATTGTAGATGCCATGGCCAATCCCTGGTCTCTGAGAAATGAGGCAGGTCATAAGGCAAAGTGGGCACCAGGTCTATGTCCTGGTGGATTTCAGGAACTGACCAGGTGAAGGCAATGGGATGAAGGAGAAAGGACACAGGGATTTGAGACAGAGATGGTCCATCTCTCTCACTTACTAGCTGGGTTATCTCAAAGATTTTATTTAACTCCCTTGAACTTCACCTGTAAAATAGGAAAATTAAGATTTCATAAGTTGTATAAAAATGGAATGTGAAATTATATAACAGCACTTTGTAAAGGGCTATATCCACATTCATATCTGCATCAAGCCATACATTCGTTCGCCTACCTTTCTAGAGTCACCTAATTTCCACCCACTTCTGTAATAGAGAGTGCACTCTTAAGTTTCATATGTGAAGTTCATATATTGTAAGTGTAAAAATATTCAAGTAATAGCTACTCTAAACTTTTCTTAAGGTGACATGTTTTCCTAGCATGTCATCTTTGTCCTGATTTCTTTATTTACTTCATTTCTGGCCAAAATCACATAAAAGCTAACAATTTTTCCTTATGCCATAGATTAGGAAACAAAGCCAAATTCATCCAGTGGTGTTTTTCTGGTTGGAATTTCCTACAAATGAATACTCTCTATTTTGCTATGATATTCCTAATGCATGCAAATTATGCAAGCCAATGGAGACAGTGAGTAAGATATTGAGAACTAGATTGGCACAAAAACACTTCCAGATTTCACTGGCATATGAGGTTACGTCTGCATCAATACGCACATTTTTTAATACAGCACAGGATTCACCTAATACACACAGGCACTTGTGAAATTTCCCTTCCTCAAGTATTTTAGAGTATTTACAGAGTGACAGTCTCTCTCATGTACTTAGAAACCATTTCAATCATGCTGCTGATCTCTCTGCTTGTGACCCATGGGATTGGAAGCAAGGTAGAAGAGAAAGAGGCTCTCTGGAGCTCTTGTTCTCAGTTCATATCACCCTGCTCTCTTTCTTTGCCTTCTGTCTCTCCCTTACCCCAAACAGGAAACGGTGATGCACATCAGTTCAGACCAAAGAGTCTATTGCTCAAATAAATGAAAAAATACAATGCCTTTAGAACTGGAAAACAAAAACAAACAAACAAAAAAAAACCCCACTAGAGTGAGAGGTAGTAAGACAAGGAAGGAGAACCACTAGGTGCATTGTTGAGCTGGATCCCTGGGACTCAATCCCACTGGGGCCTTTGAAAAAGGCATGTGGAAGCACCTTAGAATTGTCCCTCTGAAGGACAGGAGGCAGAGACGTTTATCCTCTGACTCTTGTCCTTCACTGGTTGAAGGTTGTCCAACCAGTTGGCTGTGTGCTCAAGCTCAGCAACCTCCTGTAGCTTTGGAGAAAGCCCTGAGGAAGAAAAGGGGAGTGACTCCAGTGCAAATGCTAGCAGACGGAGCTCAGAACCATCTACCATGGCTGCCACTGAAACCAGAGGTGGGCTGAAATGGGATATAGGTGCAAAATGCATCTGTTGCAACTAGTGTCAGTGAAATTCAGCCCATTCATTATGCCTGTAACTTCCATGCAATGATAATAAATATAAGATCACTATCAGAATGAGAGATATTAATAGTCCCTACAGCACCAAACACTTGTTCTACCTCAAGTGCTGGATACAAGGAAAGGCAGTATAGGATGATATGTAGATCATGAAATTCTGGGCTAGACAGATTTGAGTCAAAGTCCCTGTTCCACCATTATTAATTGTATGCTCTTACCAGTTATTCATTTACTGAAGCCTCAATTTTTGCATCTGTAAAATAGTAATATTAATGGCTTCTTCATGGAATTCTGATGTGAAGTATATGAGATAACCAGTATAAGTCCCTAGTTCAATGCCAAGCACAGTGCCTGGCACAGAACAGCCAGCCAATAAACATTAGTTCCTTTCTTCTACTTTATGAAGCAGAACTATTTTCCCTCAAATACTTATTCAGATGAAACAGTGCTAATGTCATCCAGAGAATTATAGGTTGAAAGTTGTATTATTCTGTTCTCACACTGCTATAAAAAAAAAATACCTGAGACCAGGTAATTTATAAAGAAAAGAGGTTTAATTGGCTCACAGTTCTGCAGGCTGTGCAGGAAGCATGGCAGCATCTGCTTCCGGGGAGGCCTCAGGGAGCTTTTTACTTATGGCGGAAGGCAAAGGGAGATCAGGCATCTTACATGGCAGGAGCAGGACCGAGGAGGGGGAAGGTGCCACACACTTTTGAGCAACCAGGTCTCAGGAGAACTCACTATCACAAGAATAGCACCATCTGCCGGTGCCAAACCAGGGGTCCCCAACCCCTGGGCCATGAAGTGGTCCCGGTCTGTGGCCTGTTAAGAACTGGGCCACATAGCAGGTGGTGAGTGGCGGGCAAGCAAGCATTACTGCTGGAGCTCCGCCTTCTGTCACATCAGTGGTGGAATTAGATTCCCATAGGAGCGCAAACCCTATTGTGAACTGCACATTTGAGGGATCTAGGTTGCATGCTCCTTATGAGAATCTAATGCCTGACTAGAAACTTTTTAGTTTATCCTGTTAACCACAACTTCCCAGGATATCCTCAACTGTACCCAAGTTTGAAACGTACAAAACTGCCCTACATTGATCCAAAGAAGTTTATTGACATAGTAAAGTTTGCTCAGCAATTCCCAGCAGCCAGCTTTGGAGTCTCAAAATTTCAGACAGTCAGGCTCCATAACATTGGTAGGAATAAACTGAATAATAAAATTTAAAAACCCATTCCTGAGCTTTTGAACCAACATCTCCAGTGACAGGTAGGGCTCGGGGTTCTGAATTTTGTATGATATTATTCTGAATCACAGCCAGGATTGAAAATTTTGATTCAACAAACTACTTAAGAAGCTCAAAAATCAGTAAGATTAAAAATAATTTTAAAATTCAAACATTTTAGCCACGTGTGGTAGTTCACACCTGTAACCCCAGCGCTTTGGGAGGCCCAGGTGGGTGGATCACCTGAGGTCGAGAGTTGGAGACCAGCCTGATCAACATGGAGAAACCCCACCTCTACTAAAAATACAAAATTAGCTGGGTGTGGTGGCACATGCCTATAGTCCCAGCTAGTCCGGAGGCTGAGGCAGGAGAATAGCTTGAACCCAGGAGGTGGAGGTTGCAGTGAGCTGAGATTGTGCCACTGCACTCCAGCCTGGGCAACAAGAGCGAAACTCTCTCAAAAAAAAAAAAAACAAAAAAACAAAAAACCTCAAACATTTTAGTTTGAACTTTGCTTGGATTTCTTTCCTTCATGCTCTAATTTATTTCCTTTATGCCCCCTGCCTCTGTATTTTCCCACTGGAATCTAAGAACTGGAAGAAAACATGACAGATTTTATGTACTACCTTAACTTTATAGCATTTCCCATGTACATTTATTTTATCACTGAATTTTCTATATGATCCTGTGGGGTTACAGACAGAAGCTGAGACTCAGAGGAATCAGATAATTGATCAGCTTCCACATTTAGTGGCAGAGCCAGGAACTCAAACACAGATATTTTTTCAGTGATTTTTAAATTACATTTTTACTGAATCACATGAGTTTCACCTAGTTTTGAAGTTTTAAAGGTTTTTTTCTCCTCCTAGTCAACATTCAGAAAGACCTTGTCAATTTTTTTGGCACAAAACAGAAGCCTCCGGGGCAGAATTCTGACCCAGAGACAAGATAACATGATTCTAATACATTTATTCATAAAAATATAAACTAGACTTATATCAAATGTGTTAAAAAAATCATTCTGCCAACACATTTAATTTAGGTGGAAAATATTTGCTTTGCTGACTGGCTGATTAATCAAATCAAATAATTACAACATTAAAATAATTTGTCAGAAAAGGGTGGCAGCCCTCAAACAAAAATAATCTACTGCTTCTCATTAAATAACACATTAATATAACTCATTTTACTGAATGAGCTGAAATTTTCTGTTTATGTTAATTTATATTTCTCTGAGCCCTTAGTTTAGCAAGAATTTGTAATCATTTTCTTATAAACCTTGTATATTACTGATCTGCTAAGCCTGTGACTCCCAAATGAGGTTAAGTTTCCTTTGTATATGCAAACCATCTTGGCACAAACCCTCATTGACTTTCCGGCAGGGATTAGCCTCTTTCAGTTCATCTCTTCACCCACTGATTTCCAGAAGTTTCCCAGGTCATTGCCTTAAAATTCCTCATTTTTCCTATGCTCTGATTTCTCTTCTTGCTGTCAGGCCATCTTTTCTGGGGCAGATGACCCCTGTGTCATCATCTCACTTCTTGGCCATTGTCTTCCCCTGATACTACCAAAAATAGTTTCAATTCCCTCAATTCCCACACACAACTGAGACTAAACCATACTGTTAAAAAGAACTTACTGAAAGCTCAGAGACTAGAGAAACTTAACAGACGGCTGCTGGAAGTCTCTAAGAGACCATGAGTGTCCCTGCTGTTTCCTGGCAGGCCTCTGTGTGGTAGAGCTGTCAACTCCCTTCTCACCGAAAAGAAGAGTTAGGTATTTCTTCACCCAAGAGTCTAGGCCTGCCTGACTGCCTCCTCTGCCAAAGATAAGGGGAGCTCCTTTATTCCTAAGGCTCATCTTATTTCCTGTTCTAGGCTGATTGACATTGGGAATATCCATTCTCTTCCAGGGAAAATATTAACTCAAAAATAAGGTGTAATCTCATCCCATGTCTAACACAAAGGGTCATGGCCCATATTGTGGCTCATCCAACCTTAAATGAGAAGGGACACCAACAGCCGAATGTAGGTAGTGCTGTGACAACCCAGTTCACTCTTTTTCACAGTATTTTCCATAGCATGAATGAAAAAGAAGATAAGAACTGTCTATCCCATCTCCTAGACCTCTTGAGGGAAAATACTTGAACAAAACTCATTCACATTTTCCAAGAACATAGAGTGTATTTCAGGCACAGGGCAATTTCTGAGTCTACATGGGCCCATTTTCACTATTAACTCAACTTCATTACTACACAGAATGCTGAATGCCAGTCTGAAGCATCTCCTTTTAGGTTAATTCTCAAGAACAATGGGTAGATACTTCCTCATGTCTGCATAACTAGAACAGCTTAACAATGAGCGTTTTCTGCAAGAATCAATTCCAATATCTGCCCTAGAATATTTAAATAGCCTGTACTCTCCACAAGGGCAATTTCCCATCTTTACAGCTTAAAAGATAAGCTATAACCTTTATTTTAGGTAGATAGATCATACTTTAAATTCTGCTACTTTATATGATTTATCAAATTTATTTAATTCCTATTTAAATTGAGATGGGAACCCTTTATGCTATTAAGAAAAAAATCAACATAAGGCCACATGAGTCAGTCTTTTAAAGAGAAATATCAATTATTTTTTCCATAGGTTAAGAAAGGAGAATATATAACTTTATCAGGTATATGAAAAATAGACTCCAGATCTATTATTGTAATCCAAAAAAGAAAGGACTATGAGAAACAAAGTGAAAGTTAAGAGAGAAAGATAGTGATATTAATACAGATTTAGGCACAAGAGAGAAAAAACTTACATACCCATGCATACACATATGCCTACACATTAAAACACATCCCACATCTAAGACTCTCACATGAGTGAAATGTAGCAGAGAAGATGGCACATTGAAACCAGGAAATACACACCAAGATCACGGGTAATAGTGACCTTATCTTCTGGTACACGCCCACTAGACTCAAAAAATCAGGTTTCGGTTTTTGTTTTTCACTGTAGGCACAAATACATACAGCAAGCTATTTAAAGGTAAATCATAATTGATATGATTCTAGACCCCTAAACCAGTACTCATCCTAATTCTAAAAATGTCTTTAAAACCAAAATTGTATTTTTAAGTCCATATTTTAATGTCTTTATCTGCCTCAGTGAAAATTGGTAAGATTTTACAATCTCCTACAAGGTTTGAAATTAGTCTTTTCTCCAGAGAGATAATCCACTTATTTTAGGAACCTAAATTACGTGTTCTACAGCCACTTTAACATTTTTAGCACAGAACCCTAAGTTGAACATGCTCTAAACTTTGTTTCTCTAAGTAGTTCTGCACTTAAACCACTCGAACAAGATAGGCCTTAGAATCTGACAAATCCAGGTTTAAAATCTGGCTCTGTCATTTCCTAGAAATGGGAATTTAACAAACGTATTTAACCTAAGATTGTGTTGTCTTGGCTCTTGTTTTGTAAATTGAAATGATGTGAAGATTAAATGAGATAATGCATATAAAATAACTAGCTGAGCACTAGCACACTTTTTTTTTTTTTTTTTTTTTTTTTTTTTTTTTTTTTTTTTTTTTGAGACGGAGTCTCACTCTGTCACCCAGGCTGGAGTGCAGTGGTGCGATCTTGGCTCACTGCAAGCTCCGCCTCCCGGGTTCATTAAGCTCAACAAAAGATGTGAAGATCTTTGGACAAGATCTTGTGAGCTTTGCTTGTAAAATCAGAGCACAGATTCTGTATCCAGACAACTGATTTGGAATTTCAGTTTCCCAACTTGCCAGCTTACTGGATCTTGGCAAGTTGTTTAACCTTTCCCATCCCGTGTTGTCATCCACAAAACAAGGATCATAGTGTGCTGGGAAAATTAAATGAGCTATATATGTAAAGTACTTAAAATAGAGAATAGAGCCTAGCACACAAAAGAGCAAGTTTTTGGCTGTTACTGAAGAGTCCTTTGCTTAGTGTTCAAGGAAAGTGTACTTACTAAGGTGGCTGGTATACTACCAGTCATGTAATATATGAAGTGGAAGAAAAAAGACCTTCGTAAAGATGTGTGCTAGGTTGGGCGCGGTGGCTCACACCTGTAATCCCAGCACTTTGGGAGGCCGAGGCAGGCAGATCACGAGGTAGGAGATGGAGACCATCCTGGCTAACACGGTGAAACCCCGTCTCTACTAAAAATACAAAAAATTAGCTGGGCGTGGTGGCGGGCGCCTGTAGACCCAGCTAGTCGGGAGGCTGAGGCAGGAGAATGGCGTGAACCCGCGAGGCGGAGCTGGCAGTGAGCTGAGATCGTGCCACTGCACTCCAGCCTGGGCAACAGAGCGAGACTCTGTCAAAAAAAAAAAAGAAAGAAAAAGAAAAAGAAAACTAGAAAAATCCTTGAATTTACGTTTCAAATAATTTGCTTCAGTTCAATACAAAAGATATTATGTGGCCTCTGCTGGTTTGTGAGAACACATCTAAAGAAATGGAGGTATAAGAAATCTGATATCTCACAGGTCTTATCTTCATCCTTTATGTCTTTGGATAAGTGTAGGAGGTTCTGTTGTGGGATAAAACTATATCAAGCAAAGACGCTTAATAGTCCCTCCCTCCCATGCCTATGATTTTGAGCAAAAATATACATGAAAGTAGCCCAGGAAGTTAAGCACAACAAATGGCCAGAGAGAACTCTCATCTTTATTTTCTTACCTGTTCAAATTTTCATATACCTCATTTATTTATTGAACAAATATTTATTAGTTGCCTATGCTAGCACTGGAGTTGTGAGCATGTGAGGAAAAGTGTCTGCTCTTGAGTTCACATTCCAGTTTCAAGAAATGGACAATAATCTCTGTTGCTGTATTATATGCTGAAGTTTCCATTTTTTTCCATAGTATATTTATCTCTCTACCCCATCTGTCTCCCCAATCTCTCTCATGGTACCAAGAATGCTGATTTTCTTCCTCCTGGTCATGTGAAAGCAGAAATCAAGTTTGAAGAATTCCTGACCTATCAGCCAGATGAAGATTCTTAGATGTTCTTCCCAGAAACCAGATAAGTCTAAGCCTCAAGGGATGGAGAATGAGAGGGCTCAGTGGCTACTCAAATGAAAGAAGGTAGAGAGGAACTTGCAGTGGGAAGAAGGGTAAACCTTTGGTCATGAGACTATGTAGCATGGAAGAAAGATCATAGAGGCCACGTAAGCACTTGTAAAGCCCCCAGAGGATATGGATGTACAACCCTATATTCCTGGCACACAGTAGGTGTGCAACAGTCATTAGCTGTTATAATTATTGTCCTCTTTATGGTTTTTCAGTTTTAATCATGACCAGTCCTTTCAGCACTGGGAGTCCTGTGTCAAAAACCCTTCTCCATGGCTGGATCTAGACTGCCAATTATATGCCTCCTAGGCGTTTCAGTTGTCTCTCCCTGCCTCTCTTGGCCACTACCCTCCTGCTGCTCACTCCTCCAGGCTTCCAGGATAACCTGACAAGCCCTAATCAGTTTCTCTCTCCTCTTGGGTTAGAGAAGGACACACTTCATCTGACTGACCCACTTCTTTGTCCTACTGTCGAGCTCTGATCTCTTATTCTCATATGGATGATTTATGTTCATTTCTATACAAAAGTAGGTAGTCTATCTTTAGGCAGGAGTAAGAAGCCTCCCGCAACTAGATCTATTTATATCAATTCAACTTAAAGTAGGTACAAACCCCACCAGAAGAGTAAGCATTCCTTGATATACAAGTCGGAACTATGTAATTAAAACCCAAAATAAAAACCGGCATTGTAAGCATTGTAGTTACCCTCTGTGGCAACACTTGGGATTCTTTGCTGGATTGTGAAGGGGGAGGACCATACAAAGCTCAGGAAGAAATGGTATAATGCTTTTTTTTTGTTACCTAAGTGGGTTAAGCAGTGGGTCTGACAAGTGCTAACAGGACCCATTGTTAAGAAGTAGGCACATAGAAGTTTCTGGAAAAGTCACTCACAAAAGAAGAATGATAGTGTATTAGTCCATTTTCACACTGCTGATAAAGACGTACCTGAGACTGGGAAGAAAAAGAAGTTTAATAGGACTTACAGTTCCACATGACTGGGGAGGCCGCAGAATCATGGAGAGAGGCAAAAGGTACTTCTTACATGGTGGCAGCAAGAGAAAATGAGGAAGATGCAAAAGCAGAAACCCCTGAAAAAAACATCAGATCTCATGAGACTTATTTGCTACCATGAGAACACTATGGGAAAAACCGCCCCCAAGATTCAAATTACCTCCCATCGAGTCCCTCCCACAACACATGGGAATTATGGGAGCATAATTCAAGATACGATTTGGGTGGGGACACAGCCAAACCATATCAGATAGTGTACATCTGAAATAGATTTTGACAGATCTCAAGAATTGAATTTTCCAATTTTCAATTGTAGGAGAGAGGGCAATTTAACTCTCATAAATTTCACTTTATCTTTAATATGCATCACACTTCACAGAGAAGCTGTAAGGATTGAGTCAGATATAAAAGTGCCAAGAACATTGTTTTGCACTTATTGGATACTCAATTAATAGCAATTCCTGTCCTTTCCTTAGGAGAAGGGGCTCAGATATAGTTAGATGCCACCTAGACAATATCTAGGCCCTGGTTGACATTGTTTACGTGGCTCTGGTGGTTGTTAATTATTAATATACCTTGAAATCAGTTCATTTCATTCTACTTCAACAGCTTGAAGGCTGTTAGAGTCAAAAAAGTTTTTTCTTCAAATTAAAAAAGACAAAATATTCAAACTTGGTAAAATGTTTAATGCGTGAAAAATTGTTTCTGTTTCCCTGAGTCATTAAAGGGACAGTGTATATCTCTTTATTTGTACTGGGAATTCTTCCAAATTGCATTAGCACTCAATCTCAACCATTCAGAAACTAATGTGTGGCCCTGATATATTGTTATCTGAGTCAATCATATAGCACTCTACCATAAGCCCAGCAATTGGCTCATCATTATTTAACTTCCATCATGGTCTTTAGCAGGTAATATGCTATACACAAACAAATTATTGTGGTCTTGACATAAAGTGCAAATTCTTTTTTCTACCAGTTTATAGAAAAATTGAGAGAAATATTTAAAGTGTAAGGGTTCTTTGCATTTAAACTTAATGTATTTTGGGTTTGGAAAGAGTGCTTGTCAGGAAATCATTACTGTGCTGAAGTTTGACTCACACATCTATTTCTGTACTAATCTCCCATCAAGGAACAAAATAGTCTTATCTTTACAGTGCCAATCAATCTAATCCATCAGTCAGGTATCATTTTCCATTTATATCTTTATATGGGATTTTCTGTCACTGCTATATGATAGAACCCCAAATTATTGTCTAGAAGTACATGTCGATATATCACTGCTTTACATCAATGTGCTCATTGATGGAAAATTTGATTTTTAAGAAAAAACTTAAACATAAACATCTGGATAAGTGAAACTGTTTTATTGACATATTAAAGAATATGCATTTTAACACAATTTTTGTGTCTCACTTTCTCAGTTTATACTAAGCTTGAAAGAAACTTTAAGTTAAACAAACAGAAGGCAAGAAATATAAGACAAAAGATATTCCTAGTTCTTCCAAGTTATAAATCACCAAAATGATGATTATTTAAACATCTGAAATCTTGCATGCATAAATGGCTGTGGACCTAAGAACTCTTCTCAGAGCCTATGATTGAGCTTGCCACAGAAGTGGTACACCAGGGTCAAAAATAGCAGTCAAACTGGAGCTTTGTAAACAGTAGCTCTCCCCTCTTGCATGCCAATAAGAAGTAAAAATGCAATATGACAGGAATACTCATTTAAGAGATACCCAGCAGGATGCTCATTGACCCAGAATAATTAAATATGCAGTGTCCTGGATGGACAAAATATAGGATATAACTGAAGAGTACTTTGATGAGCTAATTAAATTATTCTTTCAAAAGTGCAAGGAACCAATTATTCACACAATATCTGAGTGGAGTGGCTTGCCTATATGCTTATTTTACAAAAGAAAATGTAAAACAAATGAACAGTTTGGACAAGCTGGTGGAAGATATCTTGGAGGATTGAGAGAATGTTTTGAATGCCTGAAGTCTTATGCACTGTGTATTCATTGTGAACACTAGTGGTGTTTGTTCACACCTGGGATACCTGCCTCAAGGAGTAAGGTTTATATATGAAACTGTGCATTAATACACAGAATGTAAGCATACAGCCATGGTAAAATAGACAATCCTATTCACAGGGAGGAATAATATCTTTGTGAATATAAGCCAATCATTTTCATTCTTCCTGTAAATTTTTGTCCATCTGAAACTTTTTATGTCTAAAGTTTATGACCTCAGAGAAAAGGACATTGTGGGAGAAGTGAGAGAGAACAGACTTCCTAAATACCTTTATAAACTCCTTTAGCATACCAAGATTCAGGACTCAGCTCATACACTGCCCAGAATGCAAAGAAGCTCTCTCTCACTCTCCTAGGGCATAAAACTTGTTTTTGTCTGATAAAAAGGAAATAATGACTTGGAGAGAGAGAGCAAGTTTGCTTTTTTTCTTTTTTCTGGGAGTTTGAGGGAATTTAGAAAAAGAAGATAAGCTGGGAAGAGATAAGAGAAAATGATGAGTCATGTGTCCTCAGAGTGAGGAAAAGCTAAGGACAGTGGAAACCTCTTGTCCTGGCTTTCCCTGTGGGATTTAAGAGGGAGTTGGTCAAGCAGCAACAAATCGGATCACAGTAAGCCAAGTGGTACAGTATAGTTTGTCAGACAAAAGGAGACTTTGATATTTGGCTTTCCTGATCCACTCAGGGTTTGTGGGTAGCAGGGATGAGACCCAGGTGTTCTTGTAGCTCCAGTATAGAAGCAGTTGGCCACAGGGTTGAGAGTTCTAGGGATGTTATAGAGCCCACCATGGTGAGGATGTAGTAGAATGCAGAGAGCCTATAGCACCAGATAGAACTGAGGTGACGCTGAGTCAACAAGGGAGGGACAAACAGAAATCAGATATTGAGTCATGCTAGTCACAGATGTCAACTGCACATGTAAGCAGGACCAGCCCCTGACAAGGGGGCAGAAGGGATTGTACTGGAGCCCCAAGATGCCAGCAGACACCCACCCCGTGGACCTAAATTCTTTTCCTTCACCACAAGGTTGCATTGCAGCACACCCTCACACTCACCCAAGCACTGCTTGGAGGGGGTGGAAGAAATAAAAACCTACATCGTTTTTTTTTTTCTTGGTGAGTCTGAGCATATCCTAAACTAATGGTTTAAGTAACTTAAACTGACAGGATGATATTAGTCTGCTCAGGCTGCCATAGCAAAATGCCATATACTAGCAGGCTTAAACAACAGAAATTTATTTCTCACAGTTCTGAAGGCTAGGAACTCCAACATTAAGATGCCAGCTGGTTCAGTTCCTGGTGAGGGCTCTCTTTCTTGATTGCAGATGGCTGCCTTCTCACCATGTACTCACATGGTGGAACAGGGAAGCTCTGTTCTCTCTGCACCAGCCCTGTCAGATTTGGGCCCCACACTTATGAGCTCATTTAACATTTTTCACTTCCTCATAACCCCTAACTCCAAATACAGTCACATGGGGAATTAAAGTTGAACAAATACATTTTGTAGGGACACAATTCAGCTTATAGCAAGTGTTAAATGTTTGTTTTCTTCCTTCCACCCAGTGGACTGAAATTTTGTTTCAGGGAAACAAAATGGATTATAGACAAAGCCACATCTTCGTTGAAAGAAAAGTAATATCTGAGTATATAAAGAGTTATGATTGTGCGCTGTTTCTTTGTGATTGTACACAAACACAAATATAATAATGAAGCAACTAGCTATTTCCTTAAAATGGGACAGACCCTGGCTCACTAGTGGCTGTGGACAGCCTCAGACCAACAAACTTGAATCAATGCACTGGGCTTATAGTAGTCCATTTTCTGAATCTTTCCATACCTTCAAAATAGTGGCCATGCCCCTTCTGTGCATTCTGTGCATGTATTATGTATTTTTCAATAGATTTGATTGACTGGACAATTATATCAAATGAGTTGTTAATCTACAGAAGTGTTTTTCCAACCCAAATACTCATGTATTTTCTAGTTCAAGGTTAAAGAAAAAAACTGATAAAACTACATGGGGCAATGTAATAATAAGCAGAAAAAAAATAGATCCTGCTGTTTTAAATGAAATATACATAGCCCACAACCTAATTCCATCTGTGATGTTCCCTTTAAGAAATGCTAGGTTCTCCAAAACACTTCGGCAAAGCTGATCTATAAATAAATCATTGGTCTCTGCAGTGGGGATAAGCAAAACCAAGGGCATTCTCTGCATGGCTTTGTTTCTTCCTCATGACATTGTGGGAAAGAGAAAGGAAATGCTTATGGGTATCATGGAATAAAGAGGAGGAGTCCATAAGGAGTCATAAATCTAAATGATTGTAATTCATCCAGATGGAAAATTTGGAGATTCTATTAAAAATACAATCTCTTCATATTATTTGCTGCATTGGTGAGAAATGGAATTCAAAAGCTCTGCCTTCACAAGCTTAGTAATATTAAAATATTTTTCCCTTCAAATCCATTGCAGGCATCATTGTGTATCTCCCAACAGAAGTCCCCGAGTCCTTGAAGCAGGCTCCATGTTATAGTGGGAAAGGTGCGTTGTAATGAGAACCAAGCAATTTATGTTCAAAGCCATCTTTCTACTATTGATAAGTCACTTTGCTTTGCCTCCTTAATTGTAAAGTGTCCCATCAAACTCAACAGGTTACTCTGAGGCTCTAAAGAAACATAAGCAGTCAGATGCAAATATAGATACTAAATAGTATAACTTGTTTATAATAGGCTTTCAAAAGATTTTTAATGAAAGAAGCATATAAACTGGAATAAAAACTTTTAGGCTTTTTTCTACCTGCATGTCAACAACCTCCAAAAAGGATCATTACCTTCAATACTTCCTGCATTTTTACATCAATACATATAAGTCATTTCAAAGATGTGAAAAAATGTGAGCAGATAAGATTAGCTTGGAAATAAAAAAAGAGAAAAAGGAATTATTCACCAAGAAGCAATGACACCATTAGGATGCCCTCTTGTGCCTAACACTGAGTCTAAAGTACTCTAAGAAGCCTGACTGGAGTTAGTGGTCTTATTTAGTTGGGTTTTATTTGGCTCAGTCAAATTGCCATTTTGGTAGACTTATTGCTCAACAGCTGCTCATCTAATCAAGAAAAAGCCAAAACTCAATGAAGAGTCATTTCCTTGCTTCTTTTCATTCCTGTGCAAGTGACAATTGAATTACATTTTCAAAATATTTCATATGCATGAAAATTTAGAACATGCAATAAAGCCAGCTGCAGAAAACTGAAAGTCAGCTCAAAGCCATATCGAGATGCAAGAGATTTATTTTGCTTAGAATGGTCACCTATGGCAACAGCATCTATTTAATTATGTATCCCTCATTGCTTTTTCTGTAAGTAAATGATGTGATATTCTGAGTAAAGTCACTGAATTTCTCCTAGGATTAGTGTCACCTGCAAATACTGCCACTCTATTAATTTAGACAGGCTCAAAGTAACCTCCTTCCCACACCAGCAGTGGATATACTAGGCTAGGTACCAATAGAATTGTGCTTTCTTCAAGCTAAGTTCTGCCAAAGATCACAGTGGGGAAAGTGCTTCCTTATCTGGAGTCCCTAAGATAGAAGATACGCATATGTCAGCATTGTGCAACTCCAGGGGCGCACCAATCATACGGATACCATGCCATTGATGTAGTGGTCCTATAATTCTGCATTTTTATAGGAAGTGGGGATATAGCTTCCATCAGACTTCTAAAAATGTTCCCAACCCTCAATAGTCAAAGACATTCATTTAGATTTCAAAAAAATTGAATAGAAAGCAGCTTATCTTTATATCTGACTTCTCTTTTTCTTCATTATGCAAAAAGACCAGCCTTGCAAAGTGGCTTTCTTGCATTTAGGTTAAAAGCTTCAATTAATAGTTAATTGCTTATTATTCAATGGCAAATTATCCATGTGCTGTATTTGTCAGTTTCCCTGCCTATTTTATTTCTGGCTGTCTTCACTGACAGGTTATAAGCTTGTCCACCAGAAAGTATACATAAGGTCAATGAGGTAAATGTATTACTTATTAATTCTGCTGAAAAACTGAGAGAAGAAGATATGTTAATATAATCTACTGATTTTCAATAGGAAACTCTTCTATTATTTGACATTTCCAATTCTTCTTGTTATTCACATATCTTTTACCACCGACAATTGGAAGGCAACCTTGCCTAAAAGACAGTTATTTATTACACCATACAAAGCATGTGCTTTTTTTCCTGCTTATTTAGCAGTGTGGTCTTTCAGAAACATTTAGAAAAGAAAACATCTTAGCTATCAAATGTACATAAATGGTTGATTAATTATTTCCCATGAAACTAGGCATTAAAGCAAGTAGGTGTGTGTGTTTTGGGAGAATGGAAGTGGGACATAAGATATCAAGCATTCTGTGTAAAGATCAAATAACCCATACTCATTTTACAGTAACTCCTCTTCCTGACAAGTACTAAGTAGCTTCTTGCCTGCATTTTGATACTAAGAAAACAGAGAACTTGCTCACTCACACTAAATAAATGCAGCCCAAAATTTGCTCACAGTGCCAGTCTCTGCTGCAGCAATTCAAAGGAGAATCTTGCTGTTCGGGCAGAAGAAATTCAATCACCTTGTGGAGATAATGAAAAAGCTTCATACTTTTAATCAGATATTGATCGATTACCATAATATTCTCCCATAGCAATAGCTGCAGGCATAAGAAACGGAAAGAATGGAAGAGATTTTTAGGAGAATACAAAAATAAATAAGTATTTGAGACTTAGATACTGCAAAACAACAGCAATTGCTACTCTAAAAGCTTGGTTTCACTCTTGCAGCCCATAATAAAGTCTGTTCTTATTGATCATTGGGTTGCTGGGAGAGTAGGAACATTTGTAGACAGTTCTCCAGTGTTGTTTGTTAATTATCCTTGTCTACTGGATTTCCTGCCAGCTATCCCCAACAGTTAGTGCTATGAGTGGCTCAAGCAATAAAGTCCTAAAACTACAGGTTCTATATATTCCAGAATATATGTTTCATATAATTGTGTTGCTGTTCTTTAAATGGAATCTATGTTTCTCGTATTGTAGAACATGCAGCACAATGTATATAGACTTGTCATAGCTAATTTTGATAAAGAAAAAAAAAACAGGAATGGTCTTTCTTGTCTCAGTAACACGCATCTTTGCTGGTTAAAGAGGCTTCTCTCTGTGTCTCTGACTAAGGACAAGTGAGCCAGCACAGTTGTCTTCATAATAACAGAACAATTTCATTTTTCAAACATTTATAGAGCTCCCACCCTCTGCATAGCACTGTTTAAGGTGCTAAAAGACATAATACTGCATTACTGTCCTAAAAAAGATTACCCCAAGCCAAAAAAGAAGAAAACATTTTTAAATACGGACATAGAAAAATGAATCCTAAGGGATTAATTTTACAAATACGCTCAAAGCATGAATCTGTTAAGAGATTTTGAATTTGTGTAAAAATAAAGGGTAGCAGGATTAGTGCAAAGGGGAGGATGATTGATAAGCTAGAATCTGTGTCCTTATAGGAAAAAATATTACACTAGTCATAGGGGTATAAGCAAGCAGCTTCTAATTATAACATGCTTAAATTAAAGTCATAAAGTATTGCTACAGCTCAATCCAGAGTATCTCTCTTGACAGCCTGATGTGCCTAAGGATAAAAGTTACGTGCAGGGTTAAAATTTAGTAACATCTAAATGGAATGAAGGATTACATTATGGGCTCACTGGAGAAGGTTTTCCCAAAAGTATATGAATACTACAACTCTGGAATAGCTGGGACTTTATAATAGTGCCAGCATTATTCCCAACTTTGAAGGTCTCCCTCCTTTCATTGCTGAAAGATATTTTTTACTCTATTTCTGGATTACCTTTAGTGCTCTACTGAGAAGACATACATTGTAATAGTTTAAAAAAATAGATGTTAGTCTGGGGATTATTAAACTTTTAGATTCACAGGTTACTCATTCATTCCTATAAATGTTTTAGAATCTGGTTGTCACTGTTAAGATGCTCAACCGGCTCTCCTTGCAGACTATGAAGATGGGGATCAATCCAGTGGTACAAGACTAGCCTGTGTAATGTGGCTTGAGGGCTTTACCCTGTCCTGAATATCTCCTATCTAATGTCACATGCAGGTCACCACCATTAAAGTCAATCTTTCCCTTAAGGAAATCTCATAAACTAGAACATAGATATTTTTATAAGAAGTAAGTCTAGGGCATGACATTGCAAATGGCAGAATAGGGAGCCCCAGACTTTCTTCCCTCAATGGACATAATGATTCAACAATAAGACATGAGGTAATTTCTTTTGTGAGAAACCAGAAAACACTAAAAAGGATCCCGTACCCCAAATAAGAGCAAAAGCAGCCACATCAAAGCCAACGGGAAAATTTGGGGCACTCTCTCACCATTATCCCTCCGCTGCCAAAATATCATACAAATTAGAAGGAAAATCTCAGTTTCTGGATTCTCTCGGGGAGGAGAAAAGAAGATCAGAGTGTTTATTCAGCATTTAGACTTTGTGGGACAGAGGAACATCTCAAGGGACAGGCTTCTGTCTCAACAGTCTTGAAGCACTGACAGGACTCACCATACTCTAGATCTTTGGGGGTTGCTAAGAATAAAAAGGAACTAGGCAAAGTGTTTCTTTTCCAGAAGACCCATACCATAGAAGACAGATGCCAGGGGAACAAGAGATTACAAGCTCCTGAAAGAAAAAAAATGTAAAATCTTACATTAGGAATGTACACTCACAGGTTCAAAAAAGATGTATCCACAGAAAAAGTTGAGATCAGTCTCATATAAGCAGAAAGTAGAATGGTGGTTACTAGGGGTTGGGGAAGGGAAAAATGGAGAATTGCTATTCAATGAGTATAAAGATGCTGGTTACTAGGGATTGAAGAAGGAAAAATAGAGTTGCTATTGAACGACTATAAAGATGATGGTTACTAGGGGTTGGAGAAGGAAAAATTGAGAGTTGCTATTCAATTAGTATAAAGATTCAGTCATGCAAGAGTGAGATGAAAAATCTCAAGATGAGAAAGTTCCAGAAATTTGCTATACAGCATTGTATTCATAGTTAACAATACTGTACTGTACACTGAAAAATTTTGTAAAGAGGTCCAATCTCACGGTCTGATCCCTAGACCTTCTAGGGATGAATGGCAGTGAGGACTGAGCAGGGAATTTGGAGATAAGTAGAGCCAGTCCAGGTCTTGGCTCTGGCACTTTCGAACTGTGTAACAAACTATACAGTTAACTCTACAAACTGTAAAGTTAAATAATTTAACTTATTTAACTCATTTCATTAATGGACATCTTGAACAGAAGATCTCCATTTATGAAATGAGTTAACAACTGTACACAGAGCTTCATGTGAGTTTATATAAGTTAAATACCCGAGTTTTAGAGTTGGAAATAATCTCGGAATCATCTCATGCAATGGCTTTCAAATATTTCTTTGCTTTCTATTCCCTAAAAGTACTTTAAAAAACATTGTACTACTTCATTCATATGAAGTTGTCATCTAACGTTTTTCCAATTGAACTGAAGATTGTTAAATAGTCGCGAAGATATACTTTGTCATAGTTAGAATATTGACATTTAAAAATAAAATATTGAATTGTACTTCTATATATATCCAAAGAAATCTAAATGCTACATCATTTTAATACCTATCATCTTTTTTTTTTTTTTTTTTTTTTTTTGAGGCAGAGTCTCACTCTGTTGCCCAGGCTGGAGGGCAATGGCACAATCTTGGCTCACTGCAACCTCTGCTGCCTGAGTTCAAGTGATTCTCCTGCCTCAGCCTCCTGAGTAGCTGGGATTACAGGCGCCCACCACCATGCCCAGCTAATTTTTGTATTTTTAGTAGAGACAGGGTTTAACCATGTTGGCCAGGCTGGTCTTGAACTCCTGACCTCTGGTGATCCACCCGCCTTTGCCTCCCAAAGTGCTAGGATTACAGGCATGAGCCACTGCCGGCTGCCCCAATTTCTTAATTTGTAAGGTCTAAACCTCCAGAAAGGTTTTTTAAATAGTACAATTAGCCTCTTAAATACACCAACTGTTAAACTTTTGCTGCGCTTGCTTTTTGCTTTCTTCTTATGTGTGCATGTATGCCCAGGCGTGGTGGCGGGCACCTGTAATCCCAGCTACTTGGGAGGCTGAGGCAGGGAGAATTGCTTGAACCCCGGAGGCAGAGGTTGCAGTGAGCTGAGATCATGACACTGCACTCCAGCCTGGGCAACACAGCAAGACTCCATCTCAAAAAAATAAATAAAAATAAGTAAGATAAAATAAAACAAAATAATAAAAGAAATTGGGGCAAAAAATTAAAAATACTTGAGCAAGCTTTTCATTAAGTCAGGAAATTTTCCATATTTTTTCCTTAATTTGTGTTTCTTTTTTGTTTTGCTGCAAAAATTTGTCTTAAAATAGTAGTTTTCTAATTGAAAATGTTTAATTGATCACTTGTCACATTTCCTTCCAAAATGTGTTTGTAAACTGAAATAAATTTTTTCTGTGACCAAAGAAAAAAACCATCTAAATAGTATCATATTTTACCAGACTGAGTTATCACTAAAACTCATTAGGATATAATTGACCAAAACAAAATAAAATTGATCAAAGCAAAATTTTTAGAAATAAATTAAGATAAAGCTTTCCCCCATGCAGCTCATATGGCTATCAATAAATATCATTTATTGCCAGAATAATACACAATTCAGAATCAGCTATTTCTATTTTTGTTTTTATAAATAAGTCAAGAAAGGCTAACATTTGTTAATAGATGTTCAATTTAGTGAATTAAATGCTAGAAATCACAAAATTGCCTGCTCTCCAGAAACAAATTAACCCCATCTTCCTTCAGTTTTAACGAAAACAAAGAATTAGGAGCCATCTGACTTATTTTATTTATTTATTTATTTATTTATTTTGAGACACAGTTTGTCGCCCAGGCTAGAGTGCAGTGGCGCGATCTCAGCTCACCGCAACCTCCCCCTACCAGGTTCCAGAGATTCTCATGTCTCAGCCTCCCAAGTAGGTGGGTTTAAAGGGATGCACCATTACACACAACTAATTTTTGTATTATTAGTAGAGATGGGGGTCTCACCATGTTGGCCAGGCTGGTCTCAAACTCCTGACCTCAAGTGATCTGCCTGCCTTGGCCTCCCAAAGTGTTGGGATTACAGGTGTGAGCCACCACACCCAGCCCCACCTGACTTTAAAAGGATCCTGTTAGTCATTTGAGTCATTCATTTTCTCAATTTCTGGGAAGATTACTAAGAAGACTTTTCGAAGACTTATGAAATGACAAATATATATATATATATATTACAGTCAGCCAAACCCGGACTCTACAAAAAATACAAAAATTGGCCTGGCATAGTGGCAATCCTATAGTCCTAGCTACTTGGAGGGGAAGCTGAGGCAGGAGGATTGTTTGAGCCCAGGAGGTTGAGGCTGCAGTGAGCCATGATGGCATCATTGCACTCCAGCCTGGGTGACAGTAAGACTCTGTCTCAAAGAAAGAAAAAAAATAAGAATATCCTTTCCACACTTCCAATATTTCACTCTTCTCTTCTTGCTTTCATGGTGTCCAAAGAGAAATTCAATGTAATTCTTATTTTTGTTTCTCTGTAGGTAATGTATCCCACACTCCTCTCTACCAGGCTTCTGTCGAGATTTTCTCTTTGTCATTGACCTTCTGCAGTTTGAATATAATAGGCCTAGATGTAGATTTTTTTTTTTTTTGTATTTATCCTGCTTGGTGTTCTTTGAGCATTCTGTATCTGTGGTTTTTGTGTCTGTCATTAATTTTGAAAAATTCTCAGCCATTATTACTTCAAGTAATTTTTCTGTTCCTTTCTTTCTTTTCCTTCTGGTATTCTCATTATCTGTATGTTACAGCTTTTATAATTTTCCCACAGTGCTTGGATATTCTATTCCATCTTTTTTATCCTTTTTCCTCTTTGCATTTCAGCTTGGACATTTACCTTAACATTTCTTCAAACTCCCTGATTCTAGTTTTATGGCAGTATAAATGACAGATAAAAATTATATACATTTAAAGATATACAACATGATTTAATATACATTGTGAAATAATTACCACATCAAGATACTTAGCACATTAATTACCTCACATTTTTACCATTTGTGTGTGTGGTAAGATCTATAGTCTTAGCAAACTCAAAGTAACAATAGAACATTATTAGCTACAATCACCATGCTGTACATTAGAGGCACAGAACTTGTTCGTCTTATGACTTAAAGTTTTTACTCTCTGACTAACATCTTCTCATTCCCTCATCCCTGGCATCACCCTTCTCTGCTTCTGCAAACAAACCGATTCTTTCCCCAGCCATTATCCAGTCTATTGATGAACTCAAAGCATCTTTCATTTCTATCACAGTGTTTTTTATTTCTAACCTTTCCTTTTAAACCTTAGAGATTCTCTCTCTGCTTATTTTACCTATCTGTTCTTGCATGTTGTTCACTCTTTCCATTAGAAACTTTAACACATTAATCATAGCTATATTACATTTCCAGTCTGAAAATTCCAACATCTCTGTAATATCTCAGTAAAGTTTTGATTTTCGCTGTCTCTTCCAACTGTGCTTTTTAAAGGTGTATCTTATAATTTTTTGTTTAAAACCAGACATGATATATCATGGGTAGAAAACTGAAACAGGCCTTTAGTATGAGGTTTTATGTGAATCTGGCTTAGAGTGAGTTATGTTTGTTTGTTGTAACTGTGATGTCAAAGGCTACAATCTCCTCTAGTATTTTTGTTTTTGTCTCCCATCAACTTTGTGTATCTCTGGAGACTCATTAAATTGGGTGTGAGGTTTGCAATTCTTTAGCCGTAATCCCCTGTTACCATACAGGAGCCCTGTTGATATGGTGGTAAGTTGTTGAGGAAGGGATGAGTTCCATGATTAGGTCTTATCTTTCAAGGAGCTTGAGTTGGACATTTCCCTTCCCCTAGGTTGGTTAGGCTTTGGTAAAACATCAGTCTGCTGTACTCTAGTAAAATAGTTTCACTTGACAGAAGGCCTCGTTAAGGAGAATTGGGAGTTCTGGGTATATTTCAAAATAGCTACTGCTCCCCTTTTGGATCTTCACTAAGAGAAACTTGTAGGGCTCCTGGAGACAAAACTCACAAAAATTTGGGGACCCTTTTAAGACTGGTCCTCCTCGGAGTTTTTTTAACTTTCAGCTAATTCACACTGAGCCTCTAGCCATTCGTCAATTACTAAAGTGTACCTACCAATACTGGCTTAAGCTGAGAGCTTCTGCTCCTAGACTTCTGCTCCAAGTAATCTGTAATTCTCTGTATCTACCTGTCTGTCTGTCCAGTTTTAGGGGCAGTAGTTTGCTTTGGACCTCAATTCTCTGATGGATCTAAAAAGAGCAGTTGGTTCTTATTTTGCTCAGGTGTTTTCTTGTAAGAATTTCTAAGCTCTTGGCCAGGCGCCCTGGCTCACGCCTGTAATCCCAGCACTTTGGGAGGCCAAGGCGGGCAGATCACGAGGTCAGGAGATGGAGATCATCCTGGCTAACACGGTGAAAGCCCGTCTCTACTAAAAATACAAAAAATTAGCCGGGCGTCATGGCAGGCGCCTGTAGTCCCAGCTACTCGGGAGGCTGAGGCAGGAGAATGGTGTGAACCTGGAAGGGGAGCTTGCAGTGAGCAGAGATCATGCCACTGCACTCCAGTCTGGGCGACAGAGTGAGACTCTGTCGCAAAAAAGACAAAAAAAAAAAAAAAAAAAAAAGAATTTCTAAGCTCTTTATATGTTGCCTGGGAAACAGAGTCTTTGAAATAATATCTTTAATTTTTCATTTCATTACAGTGCAAATGTTGGGTATCTAAGTTATTATGAAGCAAAATGTATGATAAAGAGCATGATTTTCCTTTAGTAAATACATACGCATGAGTTCCATTTTTGAAAATAATTCTGAAATGACTCAATTTTTTAGATACTAATGATCAAATGTTACCTATATATGTATTTAAAAAGCAAGACACTAGAAACTAATCAGTTCTACAAGTATTTTATGTTAACAGGAAGTAGAAATTATTAAACATTTTTATAAGGCAATTTAAGAGGATTGACTATAATTGCTATAAATATTTTATGACATATTTTGATAAAATAGGTTTTAAGTACCTTATTGAATAACTCATACTATGGGTATACGAAATCTCTACAACTTTTATCTGTGGCTTTATCCAATGTAATTTGAAAAATCTGATAAGCATTAAGCATTGCAATTGCAATTAAAGAAGTAACATCATTAACCTATACCACTTTGGCTATTTATGTTAGTCCATCTGTGTTGTTATAAAGGAATACATGAGACTGGGTAATCTATAAAGAACAGAGGTTCATTTGGCTCATGGTTCTACAGGCTGTGCATGAAGCATAGTGCTAGCATCTGCTTCTGGTGAGGGCCTCAGGAAACTTATAAACACGGCAGAAGGTAAAGGAGAGCCAACATGTCAAATGGCAAGAGAGGGAGCAAGGGAGAGAGAGGAAGGAAGTGCTAGGCTCTTAAACAACCAGATCTCATGTGAACTCAGAGTGAAAACAGCACCAAGCCATTCATGAGGGATCCACTCCCTTGACCCAAACACCTCCCACGGGCCCTCCTCCAATACTGGAGGTTGCATTTCAACACGAGATTTGGAGGGGACAAAACATCCAAACCAGAAGAAGTTGCTTTTCTTTCCAGCTAATGAAGCAAGAGATGAACATAAAAGCTGAAATAAAACTGTTCACATTTAAATACATGCAAAAATTCATTTCTAGAATTCAATATATCTTACTATGCTCTCCTTTATTTATTCTTACTAGACATTGCCTAAAGTACTGCATTCTGTCACAGTGGTCAAGAGGTCACAGAGGTAAGGTAATTAAGTAAGTGTTCCATTACCCTCTCGGCCCAAATTCTACAATATATTTGATTTTGGAACCTCCTAACAAGGATCAAAATACCCCAACTCTAATGTTATTTTTCAGTATTACCAGAAAACCATAAGGCTAGCAAAACCAAGATGATCTGTGACAGGTTTATAAGTCATTAAATGAGGTTTCCAAAACAATAAAAATATTTCAATATAACCTTTTATTTTTTTAAAGGCCCTGGGTTTCCTGGGTAACCAGGACAACACACCATAGTAAGATTTAGGATAAAAGTAGAGTATGCTTTTTTTTTAATATAGAGAGAAATCTAATTGTGATAGGAAGTAGAAAGGTACAATCTACATGAAGCTGGGAAAGTATACAAATGGAAGTTGAAGACAAGAAAATGTGTTTCCTTAAAACTACAGAGCCCACATATACCTCAGAAAGTCTTTGTATACCTGCAGAATTGTGCATACATCAATTTGTTAACCACTAGTCCAGTCCAACTTTCACGTTTTAAAAATGAAGAACCAGAAGCCATAGAAATTAAATGACTTGTCCAGCACTACACAATTGCTTTGTGGAAGAACTGGGACTAGAACTTAGGTTTCCTATTTCCCAAGTTGTTCTTTCCAACACGCTATGCTATTCTCATTTTATATATGAGTCATATATAACTTTAAAATCCAGTTTAAAGAGGTTAAGAGTCATGAGGAAGATGACTGTGTGATCTTGGTCAGACTCAGGCTTAGGTAAAACTCCATTTAGATGTAGATTCTTCATTCAATAGATTTTTAAAAATTATGTGTTTAACATATTGCTAAAATACCCAATACTTTTAGAATGAGTAACACCTTAAAAGTTGTTAGCAATTTATATTTCAATGTGAATAAAGTCTGTTTCCACATGGGAAATAAAAGGGAAGAGCAAGCACCCCTTTTTCAGTGATAGTCCAATCAGGAGAGCAGAACCACTACACCGGGTAGAGAATAAGAGATTTATTACATAAAATAGGTCTGAAGCAACTGTGGGGCCAATCACTACCATCCCTGCTGCTATAATTGAGTTACCCTTATCCAGGGCATGGAGTACATGAAGGGAAGTGTGAAAATCTAAACAAACTTTAGGTTATATTCATAAGAAGGAATGTGGAGGGAGGAATAATTTTTAGCATTAATTGCAAAAGCCAGGCTTTTGAGAGAGAAAAGATGTTGGGGATCCCAGCAGCTTGGCTTTTCATATTACATGCAGAGCTCAGAGGCCTAAGAACATAGTGTCTGTGTGGTGATTACTGAGGCAGTAGAAGGCTTGATGACTTTGGCTGTGTTTCTCACTCAAGAAGTATGGAGTGCCTGATTAGATGGGGGAGGGGAATTCAAAAGTTGTGAATAAGGCTTAAGATGTAGGTCTCAGAATCCTATCATCCGTCTACTTATCCTCCCCTCTGGAATGGACTCCAGTGGGGAGGCAATGAGGAGAATACCTAGGTAAGTTTTAGTAAAGTCACAGGGAAAAAGCACTGCTGGGAGATCGCAAACTCAAAGAGAAGCCTCTTTACTAACATGGATCCTGAGTAGCAGAGAAGAAATAGCCAAAAATGTTATCTGGCTGGATGAGGCTAGGAGAAGTCTCAGTGAGTCTTATAAACCCCAGCACAGTGAAGAGAAAACAGCCATGAGTTCCAGAATCCTGCAAAAAAAAAAAAAGAGCTCAGAAAGGCAGAAAGGGGCCTGTAGACAGAAGACTGCCTTCAGTTGGGTCTCACAAACCTGATAAATAGGGCCTGGCGGCCTCAGCCATAAACATCAACACAAAACAAGAGCAAACAACACCTCAGCAGAGGTCAGCAGATGCTGGTGACTACTGGGCACGGATTGACTTATCCATGATGGCTTAATGATAAGACTCCATTTCCTCCCTCTACTGACTCCACTAACTTAGATCACCCCCAGGATAAGGTGAAGGCTGAGGCACAATCTTGATTTTGGGCTGGGCACTTGCTCGCATTTGCCCAAAGGAAATGGAGTTTGAAAACAGAAGTCATTGAATTACATTAACTTGTCAGAATAAACTTTTCTGGCTAGGCATGATAGCTCACGCCTGTAATCTCAGTGCTTTTGGGAGGCTGAGGTGGGAGGATCACTTGAGGCCAGGAGTTCTAGAACAACCTGGGCAACATAGCAAGACCTTCTCTCTACAAAAAGTTTTCTTAAAAAAGTAAAGTGTGAACTTTTCTGGCATCAGCAGAAATGAGCCCAGGAACTGCATTAATTCCAGCCATAGACAAAATATTTACTGTGAATTGTGAACTAAATTGTGTCCTCCCTCCCCCAACAAATTCATATGTTGAAGTCCTAATCCCCAATATGATGCTATTGGTATTCAGAGATGGAATCTGTGAGAGATAATTAGGTTTAGATGAGGTAATGAGGATGGGGTCTGCATGATGGGATTAGTGCCCTTATAAGAAGAGGCAAAGAGACCAGAGCTCTCTCTCCACCATGCAAGGGCAAGGCTAGAAGGCTAGAAGATGGCTAGAAGGCAGCCATCTGAAATCCAGAAAGAGAGCCCTCACCAGGAACTGAATCAGTTGGCACCTTGATCTTGGACTTCCCAGCCTCCAAAGCTATGATAAACAAATGTCTGTTGTTTAAGCCACCCAGTCTATGGTATTTTGTTATAGCAGTCCACACAGACTAATATACTTTAGTTTTACAACTTCTGTGACTTTGGAAATTTTATACCCTTAAAGAGAGATACTACAAAATTATACATCAAAAATGCTTTAATCAATATATTCTCTGTTGCAAGATGCAAAAGTTCCTATTTCCCTTTGCCAATTGCAGTAGTGCTTTTTGTTGTTATTGCTAAAAAATGAAAATGGAAGACTCTGTATTCACAACTGGATCAGAGAGCAGTGTCAAGTTGATAGAAGGTGACCAGAAATTAAATTGAGCTAGAAAAAATTTAAAGCATGCATTCTCTCTTCATTAGGAATCCCCTAAATCCCTGGAAAGCAGATCCCATACGCTGCAATAACATGTAATAGGGATGCAAGTTATTTTATTTGGACATTAAAGGAGAAGGCAAGCTCATAAACTAAGGACTCTAGGACAATTTAGCAGGAACTGTTTGTCTGAATTTCCATGAGGGTTGTATTTCCCTTGGAGAAGCCATGAAAACAAGCGAGTTTTACTCTGAAACAAATTAAGCTGACGTTCAGGGCTCTAAATTTACATAGACATCTTCAAGGCTCTGAGAGGGGTCCTTTCAATGTATTCATACAGTCAAATGTTTCCGTAAAATTTGTAACTGTGTATTATTTTAACTGAATTTACTTATAGCTGCTTTCTCTTTCTACTCTGACTAATCTTCGAGCTTTAGCTCCCCTAGTATCATGTGGCACCAAGGTGGTCATGGGCACTTTTAGTATCCAACTGGGAGAAGCTGAGTTGATAGTACATTTAGTTTGTCTATGGTGAGACATGTTTACGTGGGTCATAATCACTCTATGCATGGGGAGGTTGTTATTTCAAGCAGTGCTCCTACCCTGCCCCCTTACCTGGCATCATGTGACGGAAATGTGGAGTTAGGTTTTGTCGGGAAAATATTGTGCTATACAACATCAAGAGTACATGGGTAGGGAGGAGAAACAAGGTTTGAAGCAGATGAGTCAAAAACTAATCTATGAAAAATTACTTCAATGATCATATACGGAAAATTGTAAAGAGATTCTCCCTGACACCTAGTAAGAATGGAAGCTCTGTCCTATTAGGAATATATACAGTAACGTAGCATCAAAACATAAGATTTTTTTGATAGAAATTTCATGAAATACAATTGATCAAAATTCATTTGTTTGTAAGAAACCAACCGGAGCAACCCTACAAAAAGTGAATACACCTGTGTGGGAGGTTACATATCTAGGCATCTTGACTATCAATAATCTAAAAGACAAACTTTAAATAACCTTTCAATGGAAAAATTGAATTATATTTCTATTATCTGATAAAAATGTCACAGAGTCACTGTGATGTGGAAAATGCTCAAACCAGTTTTTCCTCTGCTCTCACACCACAGCAACAAAAATCATCAACAGTGAAGATGACTTCAATGACAAAACGTAGGGGAGGGTGTTCTCCCCACCAGCAAGTGGCAGGGAACACCATCTACGGTGAACACCAACTAGGTGTCCTCCAGTTCAATTCTCACCCTGTCTAACTGGAGGTAGTGTCAGATCCCACAGGTTGGGGGTTCAGTCCCCAAGACTCCCTCCTACCCCTTGAGACCCTTGGCCTCTGGAACTTCTGACAGACTGGCTTCAAGTTGGGATTCCCATGACCCCCACTTTGGGTTTGGTTAATTTGCTGGAAAAGCTCACAAAACTCAGGAAAACGGACATTTACGAGTTTATTATAAAGGATGTTACAAAGATACAGATGAAGAGATGCATAGGGGGATGGGGACATGGAGCTTCCATGCCCACTCCCAGATGTGCCACCCTCCATGAATCTCCACGTGTGCAGCTATCCAGAAGCTCTCCAAACCTTTTCCTCTTGGTTTTCTATAGAAGCTTCATTACGTAGGCATGATTGATTAAACCACTTACCATTGGTGATCAACTTGATCTGCAGCCCCTCTCCCCTCCCTGGAGGTTAGGGGTGTGGCTGAAAGTCCCAACCCTCTAATCCTGCCTTTGTAACCAGCCCCACCCTGAAGCTGTCAACATTTGCATATAAGACAACACTTTGGAGATTCTAAGGATTTTAGGAATTTTATGCAAGGAAATGAGGTCGAAGACCAAACATACATTTTATAATATCATTCACTGTCATAAGACAAGGTGACCAAAAAATGTTGAAACATTGTAGCTAAATGTTGAGATTAGTATTATTTTGGGCTTTTTGCTCTGTTGTCGCTTTAGTGTTTGTCAGCTTTAAAAATTGTATTTTGTTGTGATTTCTTTTTCTCATTCTAAATATTCATGTTTGTGTCTAATTTTGTGCTGCTTTTCTTAAAGAAAATGCTTTAAATTGTATAAAATTCAGACCCTACAAAGTCTAGGTCTACAAAGTCTGTCCCTGACTAAGAGACAAAAACCCGAGTGAAGAGTTACCTTCATTTCTCCTATTACGATTGGAGCCTGTTTCCTATTTTATGCCTGGTGGAAATAGCTAATTGATGCCTATTTCTCTCAAATGTGTAGCTGTTGAAGAAAATGAAATTAATAAATTAAATCAAAAGGAGAGTCTATGGCCCCTGTTTGAATTGGAAACTAATTACTGATCTTGAAAAAAGAACCACACAAGAGGATATGTGAGTATGTGTATTATTTGGTACAAAGGATAATTTTTAAGAACACAAATCATGCACAGATGTAGTAGGTAAATGCATATTTGTGATTATTTGCAGTTCTGTTTTGAAACCAATTAGTTTTAATTTCATATTCAAAATAATGAATGGCAATGTATTTGAAATGCAATTGACCTGTTCCTACAGAACATACTGCAAAAATAGGCAATGCATTCTGTTGGTTCTGATCAGCTATCTTTATTTACTTATGTTTTATCAGATCACTTTTTTTTTTTTTTTAGACGGAGTCTCACTCTGTTGCCCAGGCTGGAGTGCAGTGGTGCAATCCTGGCTCACTGCAACCTCGGCCTCCTGGGTTTAAGAGATTCTCCTGCCTCAGCTTCCTGAGTAGGTGGGATCACAGGTGCACACCACCATGCCTGGCTAATTTTTGTATTTTTAGTAGAGACAGGGTTTCACCATGTTGGTCAGGCTGGTCTCAAACTCCTGACCTCATGATCCACGTGTCTCAGCCTCCCAAAGTGCTGGGATTACAGGCATGAGCTGCTGCACCCGGGCTTAACAGATCACTCTTTAGGGCTCTACAATTAAGTGACTTTTAAGAAATAAAAAATAAGAAGAAACCTACATGTAGTAGCTAGAAAAACTAAATCATTAATCCTATTTTTAATTCTAGAAAGTGTGGCATTGTCCTTTCCTTGATAAAAATATCTGATTTGCATGAGATAATAGCCTCACACTGGCTTAATAAAATTTAAAACCAGAACAAAAACTATAGTTTATTCAGATTATCACCAAGTAGGTACCACCTGTTCAGAATACTACAAAGTTAGAAAAGGCTCTTTCTTTCAATGCCCCAGGGATGAAGCAATGGCCAACTCATTCATTCAAGTTACCTCTAGTGTTTTTGTTCACTGCTGCATTCCTGAACAGTACATAGTACACTGTAGGGGCTCAATAAACAGTTCTCACTATGGATAACACCAAAGTACACTCACTATGTGAGTACACTCACTATGTATAAGACTGAGGTACACTACAGTTTATGTGAATGGCACCCATTAGAATTATGCTGTTATCAACCTGTGTGGACAAACTTGGTGGTCCTGAAAATTATTTGTTAAATGAATAAATGAAATATGCTGAAAGTCTATGATTTGTCACCCCTGATCCAGATACTAATGACAGGAAAAGGAATAAAGCAGTCCTTCAATTTAAGCTAATCCCTAATTAGCCAAGAGAAACTAACAAAATAGAACATAATAAAATGTTACACATGTGTTTTAGGGTTCTCCAGAGAAACAGAACCAAAGGATATATCCTTTTGAGAGAGAGAGAGGGGAGGAGATTTATTAGAGGAAATGGATCTTATGATTATGAAAGCTGAAAAGTCCCATGATATGCCATCTGAAAACTAGAGAACCAGGGAACCCAGTAGTAGCGTGGCTCAGCTCATGTCTCAATGCCTGAGAACCTGAGGGGCTGCTGGTCCAAGTCTTGCATCCAAAGGCTGGAGAAGCTAGAGTTCTGATGTCCAGGGGCAGGAGAAAATGAGTGCCCCAGCTTCAGAAAACTGAGGGCAAATTCACCTTTCCTCTGCCTTTTTGTTTTATCCAGGTTCTCATAGAACTAAATAGTGACTGCTCACATTGGGTGAGGGTGGATCTTCTTTACTCAGTCCAGTGATTTAGATGGCAATCTCTTCTGGAAATACCCTCCCAGACATAACCAGATATAATGCTGTATCCGTCATCTGGGAATTCTTTAGTCAAGTTGACACCTAAAATTAACCATGACATACCTGCTAATATAGAGATATGAAAAGTTCCATGATCATTATTAAATCTGTCTAAAGAGGTTAAGAAATCTTCCCAGAGGCATTGAGATTTGAACTGGGTAAAGGATTTTGCTTGGCAAACACAGGAAGGAAAAACATTCTACAAAGAGAGAACAGCTTGATACTTGGGTGTATTAGTCCATTTTCACACTGCTAATAAAGACATACGCAAGACTGGCAATTTACAAGAGAAAGAGGTTTAATAGCCTTACAGTTCCACGTGGCTGGAGAGGCCTCACAATCATGGCAGAAGGCAAGGAGGAGAAAGTCACATCTTACATGGATGGCAGCAGGCAAAGAGAGCAAGCTTGTGCAAGGAAACTCCCCTTTTAAAAACTATCAGATCTGTTTCTGGCTGCCAAGATGGCTGAATAGGAACAGCTCTGGTCTACGGCTCCCAGCGTGAGTGACGCAGAAGACGGGAGATTTCTGCATTTCCATCTGAGGTACTGGGTTCATCTCACTAGGGAGTGCCAGACAGTGGGCGCAGGACAGTGGGTGCAGCACACTGTGCGTGAGCCGAAGCAGGCGAGGCATCCTCACTCGGGAAGCACAAGGGGTCAGGGAGTTCCTTTTCCTAGTCAAAGAAAGGGGTGACAGATGGCACCTGGAAAATCGGGTCACTCCCACCCTAATACTGCGCTTTTCCGACAGGCTTAAAAAACGGCTCACCAGGAGATTATATCCCGCACGTGGCTCGGAGGGTCCTACGCCCACGGAGTCTCACTGATTGCTAGCATAGCAGACTGAGATCAAACTGCAAGGCAGCAGCGAGGCTGGGGGAGGGGCGCCCGCCATTGCCCAGGCTTGCTTAGGTAAACAAAGCAGCCGGGAAGCTCGAACTGGGTGGAGCCCACCACAGCTCAAGGAGGCCTGCCTGCCTCTGTAGGCTCCACCTCTGGGGGCGGGGCACAGACAAACAAAAAGACAGCAGTAACCTCTGCAGACTTAAATGTCCCTGTCTGACAGCTTTGCAGACAGCAGTGGTTCTCCCAGCACGCAGCTGGAGATCTGAGAACGGGCAGACTGCCTCCTCAAGTGGGTCCCTGACCCCTGACCCCCGAGCAGCCTAACTGGGAAGCACCCTCCAGTAGGGGCAGACTGACACCTCTCACAGCTGGGTACTCCTCTGCGACAAAACTTCCAGAGGAACGATCAGACAGCAGCATTCGTGGCTCACGAAAATCCGCTGTTCTACAGCCACTGCTGCTGACACCCAGGCAAACAGGTTCTGGAGTGGACCTCTAGCAAACTCCAACAGACCTGCAGCTGAGGGTCCTGTCGTTAGAAGGAAAACTAACAAACAGAAAGGACATCCACACCAAAAACCCATCTGTACATCACCATCATCAAAGACCAAAAGTAGATAAAACCACAAAGATGGGGAAAAAACAGAGCAGAAAAACTGGAAACTCTAAAAAGCAGAGCGCCTCTCCTCCTCCAAAGGAGCGCAGTTCCTCACCAGCAACAGAACAAAGCTGGATGGAGAATGATTTTGACGAGCTGAGAGAAGAAGGCTTCAGACGATCAAACTACTCCGAGCTGCAGGAGGAAATTCAAACCAAAGGCAAAGAAGTTAAAAACTTTGAAAAACATTTAGACGAATGTATAACTAGAATAACCAAGACAGAGAAGTGCTTAAAGGAGCTGATGGAGCTGAAAGCCAAGGCTCGAGAACTACGTGAAGAATGCAGAAGCCTCAGGAGCCGATGCGATCAACTGGAAGAAAGGCTATCAGTGATGGAAGAAGAAATGAATGAAATAAAGCGAGAAGGGAAGTTTAGAGAAAAAAGAATAAAAAGAAACGAACAAAGCCTCCAAGAAATATAGGACTATGTGAAAAGACCAAATCTACGTCTGATTGGTGTACCTGAAAGTGACGGGTAGAATGGAACCAAGTTGGAAAACACTCTGCAGGATATTATCCAGGAGAACTTCCCCAATCTAGCAAGGCAGGCCAACATTCAGATTCAGGAGATATAGAGAACGCCACAAAGATACTCTTCGAGAAGAGCAACTCCAAGACACATAATTGTCAGATTCACCAAAGTTGGAATGAAGGAAAAAATGTTAAGGGCAGCCAGATAGAAAGGTTGGGTTACCCACAAAGGGAAGCCCATCACACTAACAGCGGGTCTCTCGGCAGAAACTCTACAAGCCAGAAGAGAGTGGGAACCAATATTCAACATTCTTAAAGAAAAGAATTTTCAACCCAGAATTTCATATCCAGCCAAACTAAGCTTCATAAATGAAGGAGAAATAAAATACTTTGCAGACAAGCAAATGCTGAGAGATTTTGTCACCACCAGGCCTGCCCTAAAAGAGCTCCTGAAGGAAGCACTAAACATGGAAAAGAACAACCAGTACCAGCCACTGCAAAATCATGCCAAATTGTAAAGACCATCGAGGCTAGGAAGGAACTGCATCAACTAACGAGCAAAATAACCAGCTAACATCATAATGACAGGATCAAATTCACACATAACAATACTAATTTTAAATGTAAATGGACTAAATGCTCCAATTAAAAGACACAGACTGGCAAATTGCATACAGAGTCAAGACCCATCAGTGTGCTGTATTCAGGAAACCCATCTCATGTGCAGAGACACACATCAGCTCAAAATAAAAGGATGGAGGAAGATCTACCAAGCAAATGGAAAACAAAAAAGGGCAGGGGTTGCAATCCTAGTCTCTGATAAAACAGACTTTAAACCAACAAAGATCAAAAGAGACAAAGAAGACCATTACATAATGGTAAAGGGATCAATTCAACAAGAAGAGCTAACTACCCTAAATATATATGCACCCAATACAGGAGCACCCAGATTGATAAAGCAAGTCCTGAGTGACCTACAAAGAGACTTAAACTCCCACACAATAATAATGGGAGACTTTAACACCCCACTGTCAACATTAGACAGATCAACAAGACAGAAAGTTAACAAGGATACCCAGGAATTGAACTCAGCTCTGCACCAAGCAGACCTAATAGACATCTACAGAACTCTCCACCCCAAATCAACAGAATATACATTTTTTTCAGCACCACACCACACCTCTTTCAAAATTGACCACATAGTTGGAAGTAAAGCTCTCCTCAGCAAATGTAAAAGATCAGAAATTATAACAAACTGTCTCTCAGATCACAGTGCAATCAAACTAGAACTCAGGATTAAGAAACTCACTCAAAACCGCTCAACTACTTGGAAACTGAACAACCTGCTCCTGAATGACTACTGGGTACAGAACGAAATGAAGGCAGAAATAAAGATGTTCTTTGAAACCAACGAGAACAAAGACACAACATACCAGAATCTCTGGGACACATTCAAAGCAGTGTGTAGAGGGAAATTTATAGCACTAAATGCCCACAAGAGAAAGCAGGAAAGATCTAAAATTGACACCCTAACATCACAATTAAAAGAACTAGAAAAGCAAGAGCAAACACATTCAAAAGCTAGCAGAAGGCAAGAATAACTAAAATCAGGCCGGGCGCGGTGGCTCACGCCTGTAATCCCAGCACTTTGGGAGGCCGAGGCGGGCGGATCACGAGGTCAGGAGATCGAGACCATCCTGGCTAACAAGGTGAAACCCCGTCTCTACTAAAAATACAAAAAATTAGCCGGGCGTGGTAGCGGGCGCCTGTAGTCCCAGCTACTCGGGAGGCTGAGGCAGGAGAATGGCGTGAACCCGGGAGGCGGAGCTTGCAGTGAGCCGAGATCGCGCCACTGCACTCCAGCCTGGGCGACAGAGCGAGACTCCGTCTCAAAAAAAAAAAAAAAAAAAAAGAATAACTAAAATCAGAGCAGAACTGAAGGAAATAGAGACACAAAAAACCCTTCAAAAAATTAATGAATCCAGGAGCTGGTTTTTTGAAAGGATCAACAAAATTGATAGACCGCTAGCAAGACTAATAAAGAAGAAAAGAGAGAAGAATCAAATAGACTCAATAAAAAATGCTAAAGGAGATATCACCACCAATCCCACAGAAATACAAACTATCATCAAAAGATACTACAAACACCTCTATGCAAATAAACTAGAAAATCTAGAAGAAATGGATAAATTCCTGGACACATACACCCTCCCAAACTAAACCAGGAAGAAGTTGAATCTCTGAATAGACCAATAACAGGCTCTGAAATTGTGGCAATAATCAATAGCTTACCAACCAAAAAGAGTCCAGGACCAGATGGATTCACAGCCAAATTCTACCAGAGGTAGAAGGAGGAACTGGTACCATTCCTTCTGAAACTATTCCAATCAATAGAAAAAGAGGGAATCCTCCCTAACTCATTTTATGAGGCCAGCATCATCCTGATACCAAAGCCGGGCAGAGACACAACCAAAAAAGAGAATTTTAGACCAATATCCTTGATGAACATTGATGCAAAAATCCTCAATAAAATACTGGCAAACCGAATCCAGCAGCATATCAAAAAGCTTACCCACCATGATCAAGTGGGCTTCATCCCTGGGATGCAAGGCTGGTTCCATATACACAAATCAATAAATGTAATCCAGCATATAAACAGAACCAAAGACAAAAACCACATGATTATCTCAATAGATGCAGAAAAGGCCCTTGACAAAATTCAACAACCCTTCATGCTAAAAACTTTCAATAAATTAGGTATTGATGGGACGTATTTCAAAATAATAAGAGCTATCTATGACAAACCCACAGCCAATATCATACTGAATGGGCAAAAACTGGAAGCATTTCCTTTGAAAACTGGCACAAGACAGGGATGCCCTCTCTCACCACTCCTATTCAACATAGTGTTGGAAGTTCTGGCCAGGGCAATCAGGCAGGAGAAGGAAATAAAGGGCATTCAATTAGGAAAAGAGGAAGTCAAATTGTCCCTGTTTGCAGATGACATGATTTTATATCTAGAAAACCCCATTGTCTCAGCCCAAAATCTCCTTTAGCTGATAAGCAATTTCAGCAAAGTCTCAGGATAAAAAATCAATGTACAAAAATCACAAGCATTCTTATACACCAATAACAGACAAACAGAGAGCCAAATCATGAGTGAACTCCCATTCACAATTGCTTCAAAGAGAATAAAATACCTAGGAATCCAACTTACAAGGGATGTGAAGGACCTCTTCAAGGAGAACTACAAACCACTGCTCAAGGAAATAAAAGAGGACACAAACAAATGGAAGAACATTCCATGGTCATGGGTAGGAAGAATCAATATCATGAAAATGGCCATACTGCCCAAGGTAATTTATAGATTCAATGCCATCCCCATCAAGCTACCAATGACTTTCTTCACAGAACTGGAAAAAACTACATTAAAGTTCATATGGAATCAAAAAAGAGCCCGCATCGCCAAGTCAATCCTAAGTCAAAAGAACAAAGCTGGAGGCATCACGCTACCTGACTTCAAACTATACTACAAGGCTACAGTAACCAAAACAGCATGGTACTGCTACCAATACAAAGATATAGATCAACAGAACAGAACAGAGCCCTCAGAAATAACGCCGCATATCTACAACTATCTGATCTTTGACAAACCTGAGAAAAACAAACAATGGGGAAAGGATTCCCTATTTAATAAATGGTGCTGGGAAAACTGGCTAGCCCTATGTAGAAAGCTGAAACTGGATCCCTTCCTTACACCTTATACAAAAATCAATTCAAGATGGATTAAAGACTTAAACGTTAGACCTAAAACCATAAAGACCCTAGAAGAAACCTAGGTATTACCATTCAGGACATAGGCATGGGCAAGGACTTCATGTCTAAAACACCAAAAGCAATGGCAACAAAAGACAAAATTGACAAATGGGATCTAATTAAACTAAAGAGTTTCTGCACAGCAAAAGAAACTACCATCAGAGTGAACAGGCAACCTACAAAACGGGAGAAAATTTTCGCAACCTACTCATCTGACAAAGGGCTAATATCCAGAATCTACAATGAACTCAAACAAATTTACAAGAAAAAAACAAACAACCCCATCAAAAAGTGGGCGAAGGACATGAACAGACATTTCTCAAAAGAAGACATTTATGCAGCCAAAAAACACATGAAAAAATGCTCACCGTCACTGGCCATCAGAGAAATGCAAATCAAAACCACAATGAGATACCATCTCACACCAGTTAGAATGGCAATCATTAAAAAGTCAGGAAACAACAGGTGCTGGAGAGGATGTGGAGAAATAGGAACACTTTTATACTATTGGTGGGACTGTAAACTAGTTCAACTATTGTGGAAGTCAGTGTGGCGAATCCTCAGGGATCTAGAACTAGAAATATCATTTGATCCAGCCATCCCATTACTGGGTATATACCCAAAAGACTATAAATCATGCTGCTATAAACACACATGCACACATATGTTTATTGCAGCACTATTCACAATAGCAAAGACTTGGAACCAACCCAAATGTCCAACAATAATAGACTGGATTAAGAAAATGTGGCAAATATACACCATGGAATACTATGCAGCCATAAAAAATGATGAGTTCATGTCCTTTGTAGGGACATGGATGAAATTGGAAATCATCATTGTCAGTAAACTATTGCAAGGACAAAAAACCAAATACCGCATGTTCTCACTCATAGGTGGGAATTGAACAATGAGAACACATGGACACAGGAAGGGGAACATCACACTCTGGGGACTGTTATGGGGTTGGGGGAGTGGGGAGGGATAGCATTAGGAGATATACCTAATGCTAAATGACGAGTTAATGGGTGCAGCACACCAGCATGGCACATGTATACATATGTAACTAACCTGCACATTGTGCATATGTACCCTAAAACTTAAAGTATAATAAAAAAAAAAACCAAAAACTATCAGATCTCGTGAGACTTACTCACCATCATAAGAACAGCACAAGAAAGACCTGCCCCCAGGATTCAGTCACCTCCCACCAGGTCCCTCTGACAACATGTGAGAATTCAAGATGAGATTTGGGTGGGGACACAGTCAAACCGTATCATTGTGAAAAGATGGGATGACTGGAAGCCGGTACCTGTGAAAAGATGGAAAGACTGGAAGCCAGTGTGCAGTGACTATAATATCGCTCAGGTATAGATATTTTCAGAAATGGCAGGAGATATAGCTAGAAAGGTTGGCTCTGAAATGTAAAGGGACTATAATCTCATTCACCTTTGAATTTCTCAGAGCATCTAATACAGTGACTGATATCTATTTAGTGCTCAGCTGCTTAGGAGGAAGATGGATGGGTGTGTGAAGCCTGAGATAGTTTATTTAAACTAACAACACTGCTGTAGTCAGGTAAGAAGCTTCAATCTTTATCTAATGTTAATAAATTGCTGGCAGGGCGTGATGGTTCATGCCTGTAATCCCAGCACTTTGGGAGGCCGAGGTGGGTGGATCACCTGAGGTCAGGAGTTCGAGACCAGCCTGGCCAACATGGTGAAACCCCATCTCTACTAAAAATACAAAAATTAGCCGGGAGTGGCAGGCGCCTGTAATCTCAGCTACTCAGGAGGCTGAGGCAGGAGAATTGCTTGAACCCAGGAGGCGGAGTTTGCAGTGAGCCAAGATCATGCCATTGCACTCCAGCCTAGGGGACAAGAGCAAGACTTCATCTCAAAAATATAAATAAATAGGCCAGGCGCGGTAGCTGACACCTGTAATCCCAGCACTTTGGGAGGCCAAGGCAGGCAGATCATGAGGTCAGGAGATTGAGACCATCCTGGCTAACATGGTGAAGCCCCATCTCTACTAAAAATACAAAAAAATTAGCTGGATGTGGTGGCAGGCACCTGTAGTCCCAGCTACTCAGGAGGCTGAGGCAGGAGAATGGCATGAACCTGGGAGGAAGAGGTTGCCGTGAGCTGCGATAGCACCACTGCACTCCAGCCTGGGCATCAGAGCGAGACTCCATCTCAAAAAAAAAAAAAACAAAAACAAAACAAACAAACAAATATATATATATATATATATAAATTGCTGTTTATAATGCTCAGAAAATATTTTGTCCTCCTGTGCTTTGAAACATAAATATCTTTGATTTGTATGTTAACAAAGCTGACTTGTTGAAAGAATGTATCACTTGTAAATTAATAATAAAGACTAAAATTACAATTGATTTTATAATAACTCCTTTGTAAGAATTTGTATTGGATTTTTTTTATAATGCCTAAAAATATATTTTCTATTTCAAAATCTTTCTGCAACCTAAAACTCAAACCTTCAGATCACTTCTGGTGCCTAAGTTAGGCTGAATAGTTCTAATTTCTTTGTTTCAAGCTAAAACTCAAATCCAGTGAAGGACATTGGTAATAAAATGAGAAAGGTACAAAATCACACTGCAAAAAGCAGCCTCATTCATCTGGAAAGTTATCTCCTCTCCTGCTGGGCCTGAGACTTCTCACCATAACCCAGAAACACCACACAGCTGAGAGCACCAGCAAGGAGGATCCCAGGATAACAAGATCTTGACCTGCCTGGGTGGCACTTTTTATTTCCCTGGGCCAGAGACTCCACTCTTCAGCTAGGGTATAGCCTGGCCTGGGAAAGTTCCTCCTACCCATTCAAGCAAACCAGCAGGGACCAGCGAGAACCTCAGTGACACTAGATAAACCAAGCAAACCAAAATAACACTGCAAAGGCTCTGAAACATCAGACTGTCAATAGAACCTAGACTACAAAGAAAAAAAGACTGTACTTTTATAAGTAGGCTAGGACTTTGCATGACAAACCTAAATAGGGTGACTACCTGATAAACAAAACTTTTAAATAGGGTTGAGAGTACCCTAGTAGCTAAAATATCCAGGACATAATACAAAAATCCTGTCATGCCAAGAACTAGGAAAATCACAACCTGAATGTGAAAGGACAATTAACTGACACTAACAGGACACTGAGAGGTGACAACGTGCTAGCAGCCCTCACTCGTTCTTGGTGCCTCCTCATCCTCGGCGTCCACTCTGGCCACGCTTGAGGAGCCCTTCAGCCAGCCGCTGCACTGTGGGAACCCTTCTCTGGGCTGGCTGAGGCTGGAGCCAGCTCCCTCTGCTTGCAGGGAGGTGTAGAGGGAGAGGTGTGGGTGGGTGGGTGCAGGCTCAACAGGCCCTGCACTCAGAGTGGCTGGCCAGCGCCGCCAGCCCCGGGCAGTGAGGGACTTATCACCCGGGCCAGAAGCTGTGGAGGGTGCGCTGGGTCCCCCAGCATTGCCGGCCTGCCCACACTGTGCTCGAATTCTCACCGGGCCTCAGCTGCCTCCCCATGGGGCGGGGCCCCCTGCTCTGTAGCACCCAGTCCCATAGACTGCCCAAGGGCTGAGGAGTGCAGGCATGCAGCGGACTGGCGGGCAGCTCCGCCCGTAGCCCTGGCGTGGGATCCACTAGGTGAAGCCAGCTAGGCTCCTGAGTCGGGTGGGGACTTGGAGAACTTTTATGTCTAGCTAAAAGTTTGTAAATGCACCAATCAGCACTTTGTGTCTAGCTCAAGGTTTGTAAATGCACCAATCAGCACCCTGTGTCTAGCTCAAGGTTTGTAAACGCACCAATCAGTAGTCTGTGTCTAGCTAATCTAATGGGGACTTGGAGAACTTTTGTGTCTAGCTAAAGGATTGTAAATGCACCAATCAGCACTCTGTGTCTAGCTCAAGTTTTGTAAACGCACCAATCAGCACCCTGTCAAAATGGACCAATCAGCTCTCTGTAAAATCGGCCAATCAGCTCTCTGTAAAATGGACCAATCAGCAGGATGTGGGTGGGGTCAGATAAGGGAATAAAAGCAGGCTGCCTGAGCCAGCCATGACAACCTGTTTGGGTTCGCTTCCATGCTGTGGAAGCTTTGTTCTTTTGCTTTTCACAATAAATCTTGCTGCTGCTCATTGTTTGGGTCTGTGCTGCATTTATGTGCTGTAACACTCACTGTGAAGGTCTGCAGCTTCACTCCTGAGGCCAGCAAGGCCACAAACCCACTGGAAGGAATGAACAACTCCAGAGGTGCCGCTTTAAGAGCCGTACAATCACCGCGAAGGGCTGCAGCTTCACTCCTGAAGCCAGCAAGACCACGAACCCACGAGAAGGAACAAACTCCGAACACATCTGAACATCAGAAGGAACAAACTCCGGACACACCATCTTTAAGAACTATAACACTCACTGTGAGGGTCCGCAGCTTCATTCTTGAAGTCTGCGAGACCAAGAACCCACCAATTCTGGACACAACACCAACATGAATCAGATGTTGGATTTATCTGGCAAGGACTTTAAAGCAACAATTATGAAAATGACTTAACAAGCAGTTATAAATTATCTTGAAACAATTGAAAATATAGAAATTCTCAAGAAAAAAAGAAAGTTATAAAAAATGAAATTATAGAACCACAAAAATACAATAGCAAATTTATAGAAAGTTTTTTTCTGAATAGTTTCAATAATGGAGTGGAGATGACAAAGAATAAGGTTAGTGAACTTGAGGATCAATCAGTGAAATTTATCCAATCTGAACAGTGAAAATAGACTGAAAAAAATGAAGAAAGCCTCAGAAACCTGTGGGACAATAACGAAAGATCCAATATATTTGCATCATTGGTTTCTTTGAAGGAGAAGAGAAGAAAATTGGCCCTGAAAGAGCATTCTAATAAATAAATAAACTTTCCAAAATTGGTGAAAAATCCAGTCACAGATTCAAGAAGGTGAAAAAACTCTAGGATAAATCCAGAGATATCTATACCAAGACACATCAAAATTAAACTTCTATAAACTAAAGCTAAAGAAAAAGACTTGAAAACAGCCAGAGAGAAATGGCATGTTACCTAGGGGAACATATTCAAATGGCAGCAAATTTCTTATCTAAAAAGAGTCCAGTTGGAAGTGAGATAATATTTTTTAAGTGCTATCAGAAAAGAACTGTCAACAATGAATTCAAAACCATCATTCAGGATTAAAGGGAAATAATGACATTCTCAGATAAAGAAAAACAAACAAAAAATAGTCACTAACAAAAATATCCTGTTTTGAAGTTTTTAAAACAGAAAGGGTATGATAAAAGAAGGAAACTTGGAGCATCAGGACGGAAGTAAGAAGAATGAAAAGAGCACAAATATGGGTATGCACAACAAGATCTCCTTATGAGTTTTCTAAATCATATGTGATGCTTGAAACAAACATTTTAAAATCATCTGATATTATAAACAATGATATCTAAGAATGTGGAGGTAGAGGAACCTAAAAGCAAATAGTTTCTACACTTCACTTGAAGTAATAAAATGTTGATACCAATAGACTGTGATGTCACATATGTATACTGCAATACCCAGAACCACTAAAAAAAATTTATGCAAAGTAATACAATGCAACACATAAAATCAAGATAAAACTCTAACACTGTTCAAGTATTTCACAGCAGGGCAAGAGAAGAGAATCCAAAGATTAAGAAACAGAGGGAACAAATAGAAAACAAATAATCAGATGGCAGACTTATGTCTTAACACATTCAATAATTACTTTAAATATAAATGGTCTACTACATCAATTAAAAGACAGATTGGTAGTGGATACAAAACATGACCCAATTTTATGCTGTTTACAAGAAACTCTTAAAATTCAAGGATGATTAGGTTGAAAGTAAAAGGATGGAAAAAGATATTGCATGCAAACAAAACAAAGCAACAGTGGTTCTATTAATATCAGATAAAGTAGGTTTTAGAGGGAAGAAGATTGTTTCAGGCTAAGAGCATCATTATACAATAATAAAAAGACCAACCCACCAGGAAGATATAACTATCCTAAAACATGTATGCACCAAAAAACAAAAACAAGAAACAGAGACTCTATACGTGTGGCAAAAAGTGAAACAGCTGAAAGGAGAAATGGACAAATAGTTAACCACCACAAGCTCCCTCCTCGGAAACTGACAGAACTACCAGACAGGAAATCAGCAAGGATATAGAAGAATTGATCAACACAATCAACAATCAGGATCTAATTAACATATATAGAATATGCCACACAACATCAGCCCAATATACTTTTTTTCTTTTCTCTGAACACCATGGACTATTCACCAAAAAAGACTATCTTGGGACATTAAACAAAAAAAAAGGATCATATCCTGGGACATGAAAAAAATATGTAAAAATACAACATATCAAAATATGTTGAAAGCACTTAAGTCAGTACTGGGAGGGAAATTTATGATATTAAATGTTTAATTTAGAAAAAAGAAAAGATCTAAAATCAATAACTAAGTTACTACTTTGAGATACTAAAACAAAAAAAAAGAAAAATTAAAATCCAAAGCATGCAGAAGGAAGGAAATAATTGAGCAGAAATCAATGAACTTGAAAACAGGAAAACAGAAAAATAACAAAAAACTTTTTAAAAAGTACAATTAATAAGATTGCCAAATATGAAAAGAGAGGACACAAATCATTGATATTCAGAATAAAACAAGGGATATCACCACAAATCCTGCAGCTATTAAATGGAATACTGTGAACAACTTTACGCTAATAAATTTGGCACCTAGGAAGACATAGAATAATTCCTCAAAACCACAACTAGCAAAACTCAAGCAAGATGAGGTAAGTAATCTGAACAGCCCTTTCAATCACTGAAAAATTTAAATTTGTAATTTAAAATCTCCTGAAAATAAATCTCCAGGTATAGATGGTTTCACTGGAGAATTCTATAAAACATTTAAAGAATTAACATGATTTTTACAAAATATCTTTCAGAAACAGAAGAGGAGGTAAGATTTCCCAACTCATTTTATGAGGCCAGCATTGCCCTGCCACCAAAACCAAATGAAAATACAAAAAAGAAAATCAGCCCATATCTCTTATAAACTTAGAACCAAAAATCCTCAACAAAATATCAGCAAATTGAATACAACCATGTATAGAAAAAATTATACTCCGTAACCAAGTAGGATTTATTCCAGGCATACAAGATTTGTTCAACATTTGGAAAAAAGTCAATGTAAACTATCATACCTACCAGATAAAGAAGAAGAAAAAATATGATCGTATCAATTGGCACTGGAAAAGCACTTAACACAATCTAACACCCATTCATGATAAAAACTCTCAGCAAGTTAGAAATAGAGAGTAACCACATCTTCTTGATAAAATAGTAACTACAAAACTCTTATAGCTAACGTAACACCTAATCGTGAACAGCTAAATACAATATTTTCTAAAATGAGGAATAAGGCAAGGATATTTGCTCTTACTACTCTTTTTCAACATAATACTGGATGTTCTGGCAACTGAAATAAGGCAAGAAAAGGAAATAACAGATATACAGATGGGAAAGTAAGAAATAAAACTGTCTGTAATGCAGATGATATGATACTGTATGTAGGAAATCTCAAAGAATCTACAAAAATTCCTAGAATTAATAGGCAAGGTCAGTAAGGTCTCCGGACACAAGATTAACATATATAAATCAACATTTTTATATACTAACAAAGAGTTTCTATATACTATTTTTTATGGGAATCAACATTTAAAATGTACTTTCATTTTTAATCTTGCCAAAGAAAGTAGAATACTTATATTGGTATAAACTTAACATGTATAGTATCTGTATGCTGAAAATTACAGAATTCTGATTGAAAAAAATCAAATAACACCTAAATAAATGAAGAGGCACACTGTTCTCATGGATTGGAAAACTCAGTATAGTAATGATGTTTATTCTCCCCAAATTGATCTGTAGATTTAATGCAATTCCCATCCAAATCCCAGAAAGATGTTTTGTAGATATAGACAAGCTTATTCTAAAATCTATTTAAAAGGCACAGGCCCTATAATAGTTAAAACACTTTTTAAAAAGACTAAAGTGAGAGCACTCATTTTACCTGATTTCAAGCCTTATTATATTGCTTCAGGAATCAAAAGTATATAGTCTTGGCAGAGGATTAGACACATAAATAAATGGAATAGAGAACCCAGAAATAGATCCACATAAATATGTCCAACCAAGTTTTGACAAAGGTGCAAAAGCAATTCAGTGGATAAACCATAGCCTTTTCAACGAATGATGCTGAAGGCAAAAAAAAAAAGTTGACGTAAATCTTATACCTTACACAAGTCAACTCAAAATATATCACTATCTTTTTTTTTTTTTTTTTTTTTTTTGAGACAGAGCCTCCCTCTGTCGCCCAGGCTGGAGTGCAGCAGCGCAATCTCGGCTCACTGCAAGCTCCCCCTCCCAGGTTCACACCATTCTCCTGCCTCAGCCTCCCAAGTAGCTGGGACTACAGGCATCCGCCACCAAACCTGGCTAATTTTTTGTATTCTTAGTAGAGACGGGGTTTCACCATGTTAGCCAGAATGGTCTCAATCTCCTCACCTCGTGATCCGCACGCCTCGGCCTCGCAAAGTACTGGGATTACAGGCGTGAGCCACCACGCCTGGCCACGATGTTAAACATAAATGTTAAACTATAGAACTTTTAGTGAAAAAACATGGGAGAAAATCTTTGAGACATTGGACTAGAAAGGACTACACTGAGATCTTCAGTTTGACTCCAAAACATAACACACTAAAGGGGAATTGATAAATTAGACCTCATCAAAATCAAAAACTTCTGTTTTGCAAAAGACCACTTGAGGAGAATGTAAAGGCACAACAGCTGTTGACTGGGAGAAAATACTTGCCAACCATATTTCCAACAAACTAGTATTTAGAATATACAAAAAACTTTCAAAAACAATTTTTAGAAATCCAACCAGAAACATAGGCAAAATATATGAATAGACATTTGCCCCAAAGCTACAGATAAAAAATAAGCACATGAAGTATGTTTAACATCATTAGCCTTAGAGAAATACAAATTAAAAACACTAGAGCTATCAATACACACCTACTGAAATGGTTAAAATAAAAATTAATGACAACATCAAGTGCTAGTGACAAAGTAGAGAAAGTGGATTGCTCATATGTTGCTAGTAGGAATGTAAGATGATACCGTCTCTCTGGAAGGAAGTTCGGCAGTTCCTCATAAACTGAAATATGCAACTACTGTATGACCCAGGAATTGCATTCCTGGGCATTTATGCCAAAGAAATGAAGATAGGTTCATAGAAAAATAAGTACATGAGTGTCCATAGCAGCTTTATTCACAATAGCCAGAAATTGGAAACAACCTAGATGTCCTTTGATGGGTGAATAATCTTTGGCACATTCATATCATGGAATACTCCACAGAAAAAAAAAAAGGAATAAACTACTGATAACACAAAACAACTTGAGTAAATCTTAAGGAAATTACACCAAGTAAAAAAGATGAATCTCCAAAGATTAGGATTTTATTTTTCTACTTATAGATCTTATGGTTCTATTTATATAACATCTTTGAAATGACGAAGTAGTAGAGATGAGGAACGGATCAATGGTTTCCAGCGGTCTATGGCAGAGGTGGGATTGGGGGAGGGAGGGAGGTGTGTGACTATGAACCATCAATAGGAAGTCTCCTTCTGGTGATGAAACTGTTCTTTATTTTCATTATGTCAATGCCAATATCCTGGTTGTAACATTTTACTATAGTTTTGCAAGATAGCACCATTGGAAGAAATTAGGCAAAGGATACACAAGATCTCTTTGCATTATTTCTTACAACTACTGTGAATCTACGATCATCTCAAAATTTAAAAATTTAATAAAATAATTACAGAAAACACTAAACATTTTGAAATCAGTAAGACAGAGACTGAACTAAATGACCTTTTAGGATCTTTCCAGATTTTCACAAATCATTTCCCCCACATTTGGCAAGGCCTAAAGTGGTCACCTTGTATCTTTTCCAAGGAATAATTTGTTGTCTCTGTTTCCTATGTAACTTATGAGCTATGGTCCACACTGGGCAGAGGCTGGTGCTGCCACTGAACAGCTCTGTAGTCTTGGGCCCTCACTTTTTCTTTGTGTATCTCTGTGCTTCAGCTGTAACGTAAGAGGACTTAAAGATCTCTAAAGACCTTTCATCTTCAAAGTTCCAGAATTCCAATTGTTTTCTTTTGTATTTAGATTCTACACCCAATAGAAGTTAAAAACTACAGATTTGTAGGCCTTTAACACACTTTCCACATCATCTCCATCTCTGCTAACTTGTGCTTGATTCCCAGGCTGCTCTTACATCACCCGCTCCCCCCACCAACTCCCTACTACCGGGAAATACCCAGTCATTTCTCCAAATTACTGCCTAGAGAGTAATAGTATTTTTGTGGGTATTGAAAACTGAAATATGAGTCCTGAAAAGGACGGAACCGGGAAAAGCAAACCATGGTCTTTATACAGCATTAAGCTACCCCCATTAGACACATGTCCCTCCTTAGTATATATGTGGCAATCCCTTTCTACTTGGGCTTTCACCGTGGAAACAAAACAATCTCAGATCAGATCACAGTTAGAGGACAACCACCTTTGTTAAACTGGATGAAAGAAAAACCCTGTCTCATTACTACCTGTTGTGCATCCTGCTTCCACAATCAGCATGGCTAGCCTCTGCATTGTTGACCTTTTAAAAAATACGGTACATTATTTCAGAAAACCATCCAGCAGATGCTCGCTGTCTGAGGGAATGAGTGAGAGCAAGCGGCCACTGGCTGGATTCTGTTGCTACCACTGATAAAATCCCTGCTGTGATGTAGGTGGACTGGGCCCAGCTCCAGAAAGCCAGTGAGGGGTGATGTTGGGTGACAGAGAACTTGGAACAAAAGAAAGAGGTAGAGGAAAGGAAGAAAGAAAAAAAAGATAGATGAACTTCAGCCCCTGAATGACTCATGTTGCCACATGATATACTAAAGAGAAGCCTGCTCAGGTTTTGTGTTTCGTTGCTATGATTATCCCCAAACTTTCTACTGACTATACTATCTTTTGACTCCTGGGAGTCTCAAGTTTTATATGCTTCTTTTCTCAAGTACCTACATTACATTGATTCAATAATACTACTTTGATTCTCCATTTTGAATTAGATGACAACATATAATTGCAAGTCATTTTCTGTTCAGTCCCAGTGTTAATAGGTAAAATTGCTGAGATTCACATCAAAAGGAAAGAGACATGCTACTTCATTCCCCTCAGCAGTGTAATAATAGGTAAATATAAAGCTCCCATGGATGTTTTAAAATAATGAAACTGACGCAGGAGTGCTGGGAAGGGAAGAGCCTGGTCCCTTTAAATGATAGGAAATGGGGAAGGGAAGTGCTGCGTGAGGAGGGCGTGGTCCCTGGCTAGAGCTCTACCCCCACGGACAGGCACTCTGCCTTCCCGCCCAAATGTGGCATTTTCCAAGACCACCCTGGCCTTCCATGCCCCCATCCTGGGCCTATAAAAACCCTAGAGACCCTAGCAAGGCAGAGACAGAGGCGGCTGGATGTTGAGAGTAGCAGATCCACGGAAGAAGACACAAGCTCCTGGACATCAAGAGGACGTCAAGGGGAGCACACCGGCAGAAGAGTACAGCGGCAGAAGAGCACACACTTTGGCAGGCCATTTACCAGGGGGAGGAGGCAGAGTTTGGCCAGGACAGTCTGAGAGCCAGGGCCACTGAGCAGCCCAAGTCCAAGGGAAGATCATCTTCCTTCTGGCTTCCCCATTGGCTGAGAGCTACTTCCACTCAATAAAACTTTGCACTCATTCTCCAAGCCCACGTGTGATCCGATTCTTCCGGTACACCAAGGCAAGAACCCGGGATACAGAAAGCCCTCTGTCCTTGAGACAAGATAGAAGGTCTAATTGACCTGGTTAACACAAGCTGCCTATAGACGGCAAAGAGAGCACCCTGAAACACACGCCCACTGGGGCTTCAGGAGCTGTAAACATTCACCCCTAGACACTGCCGTGGGGTCCAGAGCCCCATAGCCTGCCTGTCTGCCTGTTCCCCTAGAGGTTTGAGCAGCAGAGCACTGAAGAAGGGAACCACTCCATCGCTTGCCCTGCGAGGGGGACAAAGGAACCTTTCCTGTTTCAAAACTACCTGTAATATGAGGGCCGCAGGTTAAGAAACACAGGATTCTTCTAGAAATGTTCTTTTGGCATAGGGCATTCATAATAATAAAGTCAGAGCTTTTAAGCAGACTACAGCACCCAGCTCAGAGCGTAAGGCATGAGGTGTTTAACATGAGCACCTCTCATGTGCTCGAAGTAGTTCAGATGATAGATCAAATCCCAGATTCACCTCTTGTGTCACCAATAGACTTACCCTTTGTAAACATTAATTTCCTATCCAACAAATTAAGAATAGTAATATCTATGCCTTATAATAGGTGCTTAAGAAATTCTATCTGTGACTATCACTGGATAATTAAGGTAGCAGCAAATGAAATCCAAAACCAGATACATCTTGGTAGGGTTAGTCAAGCATTTTTAGAAAACTACTTTCACATGTATTCTTTCATTTCCATCTCATTCTGTCTTTCCAGAACTAGGGGTAGAAGCTGAGGCATTAATTGAAGGACAGAAACAACAGATAGACAAGAGGGAGCTGGTGAAAGAAAGCTATCCAACCGATGTCTGGATTTATAATGATACCTTCAAATACTGTGTTTTCTTGTTCTCCATAGATTCAGTTTCTCAGTTCTTCCCTGGCTTCTCATTGTAGTACTTATGGTGAGTTGCCTACCCAATAAGCACTCTCTTTCTTTTCTTTATTATCACAACTCTGATTTTCGTAAAGGACAACAAGCCCAGTTAAAAATATCCCCCTCCTCACACCTCCTTGTACAGTTAGCCAGAACTAACAGTAAAGCTTAATTTCAGTTTAGTTAGAACTTGCAGGCAAGTCTTTCCTAAGGTCATTAGTTCTGGCCAATGAGATTTAAGCAAATGCCTATGGGGTAGGTGGACCAAAAAGTTGTGGTTTTTTTCTTGTTCAATAAGGAACAGATGTACCTTCTGCCCTTCACCGCTATCTCACATCTTTACCGCCTGAAATGCAGATGCCATGCCTATAGATGGAGCAACCATCTGGTGGCCAAGGGAACAAGAGCCACACCCCAAGAATGTGAGAACAGGGTTTGTATTACATGCACCTAAATGCAATCCTATTTGATATTTTTGTACAGTCTGATTCCAAGTTCCCTCATCAATGGATAGCTGCTATCTTAGGTGCTTTCTTGATCCCAGAAGCACTCAGAACCAAGAACAATGTTCCAGGGATAGCTGACTAGCCCAGAGGACCAAAGAAACTCCCAGCTCTGTCTTGTAAAGCTCTCATTTATAATGTCATTGTTAATGCTTAAACCACATGTATCTGTTTCTCTACAGAATTCATATTGACTATTCACCACCCATTCAATCCCATTGCTGAGTATATATTCAACAAAAAGAAAGTCAGTATATTGAAGAGAAATTTGCACTCCCATGTTTATTGCAGCACTATTCACAATAGCCAAGATGTGGAATTTACCTAGGTGTCCATCAATAGATGAATGGATAAAGAAAATGTGGTTTATACACACATAATGGAGTATTATTCAGCCATAGAACAGGATGAAATCCTGTCATTTGTAGAAACATGGCTAAAACTGGAGGTCATTATGATTAGTCAAATAAGCCAGACATAGAAAGATAAATATCGTATGTTATCACTCACATGTGGGAGCTAAAAAAGTTCAAAACCACAATGAGATGCCATCGCATGCCAGTCAGAATGGCGATTATTAAGAAGTCAAGAAACAACAGATGCTGGTGATGCTATGGAAAACTAGGAATGCTTTTACACTGTTGGTGGGAATGTAAATTAGTTCAATCATTGTGGAAGACAGTGGCAATTCCTCAAAGACCTAGAACCAGAAATACCATTTGACCCAGCAATCCCATTACTGGGTATATACCCAAAGGAATATAAATTATTCTATTATAAAGATACATGCATGCATATGTTCATTGCAGTACTATTCACAATAGCAAAGACATGGAATCAACCCAAATGTCCACTGATAATAGACTGGATAAAGAAAATGTGGAACATATATACCATGGAATATTATGCAGTCATAAAAAGGAGTGAGATCATGTCCTTTGCAGGGACATGGATAGAGCTCGAAGCCACACCCTCAGCAAACTAATGCAGAAACAGAATACCAAACACCACATGTTCTCACTTATGAGTGGGAGCTGAACAATGAGAACACATGGATACAGGGAGGGGAACAACACACACTGAGGCCTGTGGGTGGGGGAGATCATCAGAATAAATAGCTAGTGTATGCAGGGCTTAATACTTAGGTGATGGGTTGATAGGTGCAGCAAACCACCATGACACATGTTTACCTATGTAACAAACTTGCACGTCCTGCAAAGGGTATCCCAGAACTTAAAATTTTTTTAAAAAACCATTGATCTCATGGAGTTAGAGAGTAGAATGGTGGCCATCAGAAGCTGGAGAGGGTAGGGACAATAAAAGAGGTTGGTTAGTGGGTACAAAAATATAGTAAGATAGAAGGAATGAGTTCTAGTGTTTGTTAGCACAGTAGGGTGACTATATTTATTAATGTATTGTATATTTCAAAACAGCTGTAAGATTTGGAATGTTTCCAACACAAAGAAATGATGTGTTTGAGGTGATGGATATCTTAATTACCTCTATTTGATCATTACATATTGTATATATGTATCAAAATGTCACAAGTACCCCCATAAATGTGTATATTATGTACCAAACAGGGAAAAGTTAGATATTATCATTGTATCACTGTGATAAGTTATGTATCTGTAAACCACAGAAACCCACTGTAGTTAATTTAATATCATTAGCTAAAATGTATTGAAAACTTGATTCATAGCAGGTACTTTTCTAAGTTTTTCATCTCCATTTAATTCTCAGAACAATCCTATGACATAAGAAGCATTAAAGTTGCCACTTCATAGACAGAGAAACACAAGATGGAAAGTTTTAGAATCAGGATTCAGTCTCAAATATACACATACTCTTAGTCTCTTACATTATGCTGGTTCCCAATGGAATATATTGGAAGTGTCAGGAGCTCACAAAACTGATGAGAAAGCTGGTGAACTAGAATTAGAAATGGGCAGGCTCCACAGGGCTAAGAAACAAGCAGGATCATCTGGATTGGGCACTAGTGCCAGAATGAATCAACTCCAACCATTTTCAATCCTTTTCACTCTACTAAAACCACAATTCCAAATGGTCTATCTTGGTCACGTGCCTGCCCTTTGATAAGTCAGAACAGGGAAGCTGATTAACTGTCCCAGATTCTGTGCCTGAGGAGGAACAGCTAATTACCCAGAATTCAAGTTTCCCTTAGGGAAATGGGAAAGAGAATAACACTGAGTGTCGAATATGTACTACCACCATTCATAAATCCCCTCAGCCTTACTTGCCCCGGAAATTTTTCACTAGCTATCTTGCTCCTACCTGCTGACATCTGTGGCCAAGATGTAGGGGTAGGGGTGAAAGGATGGGCTCATTTTCACCCTCCAGACTATTCTCCTCCTTTTAACTCTTATCTCTTCTGCAATAGTCCTAATTTCCATTCTCTGATACCCATTAGAGGGAAATTACAGTTTTCTATGACTTTCTTTTGTAGAGTGATCTAACTTGTCTTCTTCCATTTCAGATAAGCCCACCTCTGCATAAAGAAAAAGTCACTTAAGTGTTGTCCAGAACCAAAAAGCCTTTAATAAGTATATTCACTCAATAACACAAAGAATACAAAGAAGCTTTGTCTTCAGAGATTCTTGTTAGCCAGTTCAATATGAAAATATTAGGTAGAGTTTCTTCTTCTACCTATAGTCCCTAGAAGAAAGCTCACAAGAAATTTTATTCTCTTCTTTCCCAGTGAGGTTTGTTTTTGTTTGGAGATGTATGACATGAATACAAATTTCATAATCATACAGTCCAAAACCCCTTGTTCTGTTTCTGTATGCCTCAAACCTCCCTTCTGCCTAATGCAGAATATTTCACATAGTTGCTTCTAGGTAAGCACAGTCAATTTCTGTGTTTTTCTCAAGCAATGAAATTTTAAAACCCAGTTCTTTAACACTTCTCCACCGGAGTTGATGCTTGGGCTCCAGAGGTTTATCGAATGCCTGTGCACAACTTCCACTCATTTTGTGCTGGCCTGCTACTCCAGGGGTGATCGGCTTCCTCTGTAACCCCTTCTGAGCTGACCATTCATTTGCTTCAGCAAGGCCAGCTGAGTGGCCCACCCTGGCTCCTTTTTTTTTGGTCATTTCCTGAGGATGCCAAATCGCCCTGAAGTCAGTGAGTTCTCTCCAACCTGGGTTACATAAATGGCCAATTTTTGAGGCATGTGGAAGGCTAGCGGCTCTTCTGTCTTCCTTTGGGGACAATGAAGGACACCAAGACATCACTCTGTCCTAACATCCCTTGTGACGATTACTGTCCCGTGGCTCCCACACCACAAAAGCACAGGAAACAGCTATGAGTCTGCTAACTATCGAAAGGCAGGAGCACACGCTCAGCTCAGGGTCCCCAAACTTATCTCAGGGATGGACTTGCCACTCGCATGCCCTCAGCCCAGCCTGCTCTACCACACTGACTGAGGTGGTGGGAGCAGAGGAACAGTGAGACAGAGCAGGCCGATGGAAATCTACATGCTGCTTTTCTTCTTCAGACCTGGGAATCTTCATCTGGTCTGGAGACTGGGTGTACGAGAAGGAGAAAAAGCTGATAGCTTATTATCAGTCTTTTCCAAACTCCAATCAAAAAATCATTCTGGTACTCTGCTTCTTTTGCTGATAATCCCTTAATAGAGGAATGTCATTGGATAAATACAGAGTATGAGAAAAAGTATATCTATTAATACTTGACATATAAAGCCATTATACACACCTAAATACATATGTGTATTATATAATAGAGAGAGACTGTAAGTCTAAATTAATATACAGCCAGTAATCATGGAAAAAAAATGTCTATCACGAAACACATCTGAAGGTTAACCATGTGGCAATTTGTACATCCTTATTATTATTATTATTTTTTTGAGACGGGGTCTCGCTCTGTCGCCAGGCTGGAGTGCAGTGGCGCAATCTCGGCTCACTGCAACCTCCGCTTCCTGGGTTCAAGCAATTCTCCTGCCTCAGCCTCCCGAGTAGCTGGGATTACAGGCACGTGCCGCCACACCCACCTAATTTTTGTATTTTTAGTAGAGACGGGGTTTCACCACGTTGGCCAGAATGGTCTCCATCTCCTGACCTCGTGATCCGCCTGCTTTGGCCTCCCAAAATGCTGGTATTACATGCATGAGCCACCATGCCTGGCCTGTACATCTTTCTTTATGCTTCTATTTATTTGCCAAATTCTCTACTCAGAGAACATATTCTTTTATAACCACGAAATAAGTAAATAATAGTTTTTAAAGCTGCTGTGTTAGTCATAGCAATAGACCACTATATCTACATTCCATGGCACTTAATTGCATTTGTAGTAAAAACAGGAAGAAAATAATGAATAAAAATGTATACAGTAAACGATTTTCCCCAAAAAACCTTTTCCTTTCTGATATTGCAAACAAACTGCTTGAGTTACAAGCACAGGTTGTTTTTATACTGTGTTCTGAGGTATTCATGATGTAGGCTTACATTGCAATCCTATTTGGGAATTAAGACAAATGAGCTAAATTTTTATGTGTTTGTTCCATGTTTTATTTTCACAGACTACTTTCTGAAATCAGTAATTGTCTTGTTCCGGTAAAAGAAAGCCTTCAAATTAGATATAACTTTTTAAGTCTCCGGACGCACCGTTTGTGCATAGAAAGGTTGCTGAGGAGATGTTCTCAGCCAGGATAGGAGCTGATTATATAGATGAAGCACTAGGGACTGAGAAGAGCCAGGGATGGATCCAGGAAGGGTCATGCAGGAGGTGGGGAGGGGACCCCGCTTGCTACCAGCCCACCGCTCCATCCGCCTGCAGTTCACTCTTTGCTCCCATTGTTCTTGGTTAATGTTTTAGAGACAATAGAAGCTGTTACATTTAAAAGAAAAATGCCTGGTAGGCTGCAGTTTGTAAACAAACCAGAACAGCACTATAGTGCTTTTGAATCATTTGGCAAGAGATTGGGGAAAGCATTTGGATGGATTCCAAGAAGCATATTGCTGTGTCCAAATGACTAACTGCCAGTGACTGGTAGTGAATTGATCCGTGTTAGTTCAGGACCTCCAAAGACCTGCTCACAGGTGAAGAATGAGGAGTTTACATCCTATTCCAGACCAGGCTTCTGACAGATCTCCTAGTTATAGAAGGAGGTCTTTTCATGCTTAATCGCTGGTCTTGGTACATAAAACCTATGACATTTTGGGAGACATGACACCAAGTGAAGTTGTTTTTTTTTTTTGAGACGGAGTCTCGCTTTGTCTCCCAGGCTAGAGTGCAGTGGCACGATCTTGGCTCACTGCAAGCTCACCTCTCAGGTTCACACCATTCTCCTGCCTCAGCCTCCCGAGTAACTGGGACTACAGGCGCCCACCACCACGCCCGGCTACTTTTTTTTATATTTTTTAGTAGAGACGGGGTTTCACCTTGTTAGCCAGGATGGTCTTGATCTCCTGACCTCATGATACGCCCACCTCAGCCTCCCAAAGTGCTGGGATTACAGGCTTGAGCCACCATGCCCGGCCTGTTTTTGTTTTTAATCTCCCATGGTTAAGAAAATAACCCATGATAAAAGGATAATCTTTGGCCTCTGTTGGGTACAGAGAACAGGCAAACTACACTGGATGTGAACATGGCATCGTGAGTGTTTTTTTGTTTGTTTTGTTTTTGTTTTGAGACGGAGTCTCGCTCTGTTGCTCAGGCTCGAGTGCAGTGGCGCGATCTCGGCTTACTGCAAGCTCCGCCTCCTGGGTTCACGCCATTCTCCTGCCTCAGCCTCCCGAGTAGAGTAGAATAGCTGGGACTACAGGCCCCCGCCACCATGCCCAGCTAATTTTTTGCATTTTTAGTAGAGACGGGGTTTCACCATGTTAGCCAGGATGGGTCTTGATCTCCTGATCTCATGATCCTCCCGCGTTGGCCTCCCAAAGTGCTGGGATTACAGGTGTAAGCCACCATTCCTGGCCCATGAGTGTTCTACAGGTTCTATGGGAGGAAGGAACATGGCGAGGTAAATGCTGAAACAACATATTTTATCTAAAATCAACTCCAAATCTAGCCTTCTAAAACTCTTACCCTGTTGATAGACTGAATGTAATTTGCTTGAATCCACTTAATCACAGACAACATTACATATTTGCGAGTTATGTAACTATAGACAATTAACTTTTAAGAGATTCTAATGACAAATTCATACTATAGAACTGGTTAACAAACCTTTGAAATACCCTCATCAAAAGGCCACACTCCTAACCCAGCTACTATTAGTGCTTCAATACTACTATCTTAATTCCCAAGTTCATCAATCAGTATAAATGTTAAAATTAGTATTTCTTTGATGAAATGAACTGTGTTTATGATATATGGGTTGCCTAGAAATATTGGACTGATACCTCTATGACTGCATGAAGGTAGCATAAGAAACTGATGAGTCCATCATCCTTCCACCTTAGGATTAAATCTTTTGGCCTAGAATTCCACTCAGTTGTATGCCCACCTCTTAAAGGAGTGTTCTGTTGCCTCAGTCAATCCAAAATTCACCTGAGCCAATCCAAAATTAACCTGAACCTTCTTAAAAACAATAATCAGTTTTGCATTGAAGGGAAGCTTTCAGGCAAAAGTTTTCAATGAAGTACTTAAAAGGCCATAGACTAGAGTGTCTCTTGAGGCCTGACCCCGATCCATCCTTCCTCATTGGGCAGGACTTCCCTTCAGGAACTCCAATAACTCCAGCCAGAGGCTCAGGGACAGAACCTGTATCTCCCTGGGCCTAAGCCCCTAGGGGGAGGGGTGGCTGCAGTCTGTGCAGGCCAGCAGACACAGCCTTTCCTCCTGGTAGTTCTGAGGAATCTGGACAGCTCAGACAAGTGGGTTTCCCCCCAGCAAGACACACCCCTTCTACCAAGGGACAAAGTGCTTCATTAAAAGTGTCCTGTTCCCCGTGCTACCCAACTGGGTGAGACCCTCCAACAGAGGCTGTCAGACACCTTATACAGGAGTGAGCCTATTGGCATCAGCTTGGTGCCCCTTAGGGTCAGAGGTCCCAGAAGAATGAGCAGGCACCCATCTTTGCTGCTCTCCAGCTTCCTTAAGAGACATATCCAGGTGTGGGAGTGAATCAGATGAATAGGGGCTAAAGCCCCCAGCAAACTGCAGCAGCCCTACAGAAGAGGGACCTGACCATTGAAAGAAAAACAAACAGAAAGCAACAACAAGAATCAACAACAACCAAGAAAAGCCCCCACAAAAACCCCATCCAAGGGTCTGCAGTCTCAAAAACTAGACAAACTCAAAGATGAGAAAGAATCAACAAAAAATTGCTGAAAACACAAAAGGCCAGAGTGCCTGTTCTCCTCCAAATGATGGCAATGTCTTTCCATCAGGGGTACAGAACTGGATGGAGGAACAGATGGATGAATTGACAGAAGTAGGCTTCAGAAGATGGGTAATAAACTACACTGAGCTAACGGAGCTCAGTGTTCTAACCCAATTCAAAAAAGCTAAGAAACTTGATAAAAGTTTAGAGGAATTGCTAACTAGAATAACCAGTTTAGAGAGGAACATAAATGACCTAATGAAGCTGAAAAACAGCCCAGGAACTTTGTGAAACATACACAAGTATCAATAGCTGAATCGACCAAGTGGAAGAGAAGATATCAGAGTTTGAAGACCACCTTACTGAAATAAGGCATGCATACAAGACTAGAGAAAAAATTATGAAAAGGAATGAACAAAGCCTCCAAGAAATATGGGACTTCATAAAAAGACCAAACCTATGATTGATTGGAGTACGAGAAGGAGATTGGGAGAATGGAAACAAGCTAGAAAACACACTGGAGGATATTATCCAGGAGAACTTCCCCAACCTAGCAAGACAGGACAACATTCAAATTCAGGAAGTACAGAGACCACCGCTAAGATACTCCATGAGAACATTAACACCAAGACACATAATCATCAGATTCTCCAAGGTCAAAATGAAGGAAAAACTGTCAAGGGAAAGCCAGAGAAAAAGGCCAGGTCACCTACAAATGGAAGGCCATCAGACTAACAGCAGACCTCTCAGCAGAAAATCTACAAACAAGAAGAGATTGGGGGCCAATATTCAACATTCTTAAAGGAAAGAATTTTCAACCCAGAATTTCATATCCAGCAAAAATAAGCTTCATAAGAAAATGAGAAATATAAACCTATTCAGACAAGCAAATGGTGAGGGATTTTATTATCACCAAGCCTGCCCTGCAAGAACTCCTGAAGGAAGCACTAAATATGGAAAGGAAAATCCAGTACCAGACACTGCAAAAACACACCAAAATATAAGGACCAATGACACTATGAAGAAACTGCATCAACTAGTGTGCAAAATTACCAAGTAGCATCATAATGACAGGATCAAATTCAAACATAGCAAAGGTAAACTCAAACATAAATGAGAAAAATGCCCCAATTAAAAGACACAACTAGCAAATTGGATAAAGAGTCAAGACCCATCATTGTGCTGTATTCAGGAGACTCATCTCACGTGCAAAGACACAAACATAGGCTAAAAATAAAGGTATAGAGAAAAATTTACCAAGCAAATGGAAAGCAAAAAAAAAAAAAAAAAAAGCAGGGTTTGCAATCCTAGTCTCTGTCAAAACAGACTTTAAGCCAGAAATATCATAAAAGACAAAGAAGGGTATTACATAATGGTAAAGGGAACAATTCGATAGAAAGAGCTAACTATTCTAAATATATATGCACCAAATACAGGAGCACCCAGATTCATGAAAGAAGTTCTTAGAAACCTACAAAGAGACTTAGACTCCCACACAATAACAGTGAGAAACTTTAACACCCCACTGTCAGTATTAGATCAACGAGACAGAAAATTAACAAGGATATTCAAGACTTGAACTCAGCTCTGGATCAAGTGGACTTAGTAGGCGTCTACAGAACTCTCTACACCAAATCAACAGCATATACATTCTACTCAGTGCCACATGGCACTTATTCTAAAATCGACCACATAATCAGAAGTAAAACACTCCTCAGCAAATATGAAAGAACTGAAAAAGTAACAGTCTCTCAGACCACAGTGCAATCCAATTAGAACTCAGAATTAAGAAACTCACTCAAAACCACACAATTATGTGGAAATTGAACAACCTGCTCCTGAATGACTCCTGAGTAAATGGTGAAATGAAGGCAGAAATCAAGAAGTTATTTGAAACCAATGAGAACGGAGAGACAACCTACTAGAATCTCTGGGACACAGCTAAAGCAGTGTTAAGAGGGAAATTTATAGCACTAAATGCCCACATCATAAATCTAGAACTATCTAAAATTGACACCCTAACATCATAATAAATAGACCTAGAGAGGCAAGAGCAAACTAATCCAAAAGTTAGCAGAAGACAAGAAATAACTAACATCAGAGCAGAACTGAAGGAGATAGAGACATGAAAATCCCTCCAAAAGAATCAATGAATAAAGGGGCTGGTTTTTTGAAAAAATTAACAAAATACATAAACTGCTAGCTAGACTAATAAAGAAGAAAAGAGAGAAGAATCAAATAGACACAATAAAAAATGATAAAGAAAATATCACCACTGACCCCACAGGAATACAAACTACCATCAGAGAATACTATAGACACCTCTAGGCAAATAAACTAGAAAATATGGAAGAAATGGATAAATTCCTGGATACATACACCCTCCTAAGATTAAACCAAGAAGAAGCTGTATCCCTGAATAACCAATAACAAATTCTGAAATTGAGGTAGTAATAGCCTACCAACCAAAAAAAGCCGAGGACCAGACAGATTCACAGCTGAATTTCTACCAAACGTACAAAGAGGAGCTGGTACCATTCTTTCTGAAACTATTCCAAACAACTGAAAAGGAGGGACTCCTCCTTAACTCAGTTTATGAGGCCAGCATCATCCTGATATCAAAACCTGGCAGAGACATAACAAAAAAAGGAAACTTTAGGCCAATATCCCTGACGAACATCGATGCAATAATCCTCAATAAAATACTGGCAAACCTAATCCAGCAGCACATCAAAAAACTTATGCACAAGGATCAAGTCAGCTTCATCCCTGAGATGTAAGGCTGGTTCAACATACGCAAATCAGTAAATGTAATCCATCATATAAAGAGAACCAAAGACAAAAACCACATGATTATCTCAATACATGCAGAAAAGGCCTTTGATAAAATCCAACATCTCTTCATGTTAAAAACTCAAACTAGGTATTGATGGCACATATCTCAAAATAATAAGAGCTATTTATGACAAACCCATAGCCAATATCATATCAAATGGGCAAACGCTGGAAGCATTCCTTTGAAAACTGGCACAAGACAAGGATGACCTCTTACCACAACTATTCAACATAGTATTGGAAGTTCTGGCCAGGGCAATCAGGCAAGGGAAAGAAATAAAAAGTATTCAAATAGGAAGAGAGGAAGTCCAATTGTCTCTGTTTGCAGATGATATGATTTTATATTTAGAAAACCCCATTGTCTCAGCCCAAAAACTCCTGAAACTGATAAGCAACTTCAGCAAAGTCTCAGGATACAAAATCAATGTGGAAAAATCACAAGCATTCCTTTACACCAAAAATAGACAAGCAGAGAGCCAAATCATGAATGAACTCCCATTTACAATTGCTACAAAGAGAATAAAATACTTAGGAATACAGCTAATAAGGGATGTGAAGGACCTCTTCAAGGAGAACTACAAACCACTGCTCAAGGAAATAAGAGGACACAAACAAGTGGAAAAACATTCCATCTTCATGGATAGGAAGAATATTGTGAATGCCCAAAGTAATGTATAGACTCAATGCTATTCCCATCAAACTACCATTGACATTGTTCACAGAATTAGAAAAAACTACTTTATATTTCATATGGAATCAAAGAAGGCCCAGTATAGCCAAGAGAATCCTAAGCAAAAAGAACAAAGCTAGAGGCATCACACTACCTGACTTCAAACTATACTACAAGGTTATAGTAACCAAAACAGCATGGTGCTGGTACCAAAACAGACATATAGACCAATGGAACAGAACAGAGACCTCAGAAATAACACTACACATCTACAATCATCTGATGTTCAACAAACCTGACAAATACAAGCAATGGGGAAAGGATTTCCTATTTAATAAATAGTGCTGGGAAAACTGACTAGCCATATGCAGAAAACTAAAACTGGACCACTCCCTTATACGTTAAACAAAAAGTAAGTCAGGATGGGTTAAAGACTTAAATGTAAAACCCAAAACCATAAAACCCTAGAAGAAAACCTAGGCAATACCATTCAGGACATAGGGATGTGAAAGATTTCATGACAAAAACACACAAAAGCAATTGCAACAAAAGCCAAAATTGACAAATGGGATCTAATTAAACTAAAGAGCTTCTGCACAGCAAAAGAAATTATCATCAGAGTGAACAGGCAACCTACAAAATGGGAGAACATTTTTGCAATCTACCCATCTGATAAATGTCTAATATCCAGAATCTACAAGGAACTTAAATTTACAAGAAAAACAACCCCATCAAAAGGTGGGTAAAGGATATGAACTGACACTTCTGAAAAGAAGACATTTATGTGGCCAACAAACACACACAAAAAAAGCTCAACATCACTGATCATTGGAGAAATGCAAGTCAAAATCACAATGAGATACCATCTCATGCCAATCAAAATGGCAATTATCAAAAAGTAAGGAAACAATAATCCTGGTGAGGCTCTTGAGAATTAGGAATGCTTTTATACTGTTGGTGGGAATGTAAATTAGTTCAACCATTGTGGAAGACAGTATGGCGATTCCTCAAGAATCTAGAACCAGAAATACCATTTGACCCAGCAATCCCATTACTGGGTATATACCCAAAGGAATATAAATCATTCTACTGTAAAGACACATGTACATGTATATTTATTGCAGCACTATTTACAATAGCAAAGACATGGTACCAGCACAAAGGCCCATCAATGATAGACTGGATAAAGAAAATGTTGTACATACACACCAAGGAATACTATACAGCCATAAAAAGGAATGAGATCATGTCCTTTGCAGGGACATGGATGAAACTGGAAGCCATCATCCTCAACAAACTAACACAGGAACAGAAAACCAAACACCACATGTTCTTCCTTATAAGTGGGAGTTGAACAATGAGAACACATGGACACAGAGAGAGGAACATCACACCCCAGGGGCTGTTGGGGACTGCAGAGTGAGGGGAAGGAACTTAGATGATGGGTCAGTAGGTGCAGCAAACCACCATGGCACACGTATACCTATGCAACAAACCTGCACATTCTGAACGTGTATCCCTTTTTTTCTTTTAAGAAGATATTTTTTTAAATGACAAACTTGTCAGGAGGAACAGTAGCTGCAACATTGAACAGAAATGTATGTATATAACACTTTTTCAAAATTAATTTTAAAAAAATTATTTTTTAAAAAGGTCATAGAACCAGCCAGGCATGGTGGCTCATGCCTATAATCCCAGCACTTTGGGAGGCTGAGGCGGGCAGATCATGAGATCAAGAGATCAAGACCGTCCTGGCCAACATGGTGAAACCCTGTCTCTACTAAAAATACAAAAGTTAGCCGGGCATGGTGGCGCACGCCTGTAGTCCCTCCTACTCGGGAGACTGAGACAAGAGAATCGCTTGAACACGGGAGGCAGAGGTTGCAATGAGACGAGATCAGAGGTTGCAGTGAGCCGAGATCTCACCACTGCACTCCAGCCTGGTGACAGAGCAAGACTCCGTCTCAAAAAAAAAAAAAAAAGCCATAGAACCAAAATTCACAGATCTTAAAGAAAAGGTTGAATCTGCTCTGGTGCTCTGGGACCTGTTATTAGCCTTATTGCTAATAAATATTTGTACTGTAACAAAATGTAGTCTAAATCTTGCTTTCTTTGTAACATGCCATCTAGTAGGAAAGTAGTGGAGGAGACCTGAAGTTGTTGCCTACTTTTACCTAGTAGAGGGCACCTGCCCTTTAAAACACACCCACACCCATTGTGAACAACCAAAATACATGATTGGTTTATTTCAAGCACATGTCTTCATCTCAAACATAGTGGCAGAACACTATTTTCTATGCTAAATTTTGGATTGTCCTCAAATTGTACATTTTTTCCCCTTGAGGGTAGATTCTGTACCAATGTCTAAAAGTCACCCTTACTAGCAGATGCCTTACAAATATATATATACCCAAATTCAATTTAGTGTGACTATGAATAATCAAACCAAAAATTATAGAAGAAATTAACACTTAAGATGAACAGACACCCTTAGTAAAGTTAATGTTCTTACAGCAGAGAACACTGATCGCCTTTTTGAAGACTTTTTACATTATTTTCATTTTATAGACAGATCAACATGGCATGAATTTTCCTCATATCAGATGCTGACTTGTAAGCCTAATTATATCCATATTTAAAGTATTAATGAGTTTTCTCATTAGATTTTCCACACAGAGGCAAGGAGAGGGCCAATCTAGTTATTTTCCAGGGCATAAGGTTAAAATGCTCTAAAGTTGATGGGAATAAAGAGAAGATGGTAGCATGTCCAGGTTTATTTTTAGTCCATTCATCTGCTTGAATTTTATGTTTCAAAAACTGAACTACGGCTGGGCGTGGTGGCTCACGCCTGTAATCCCAGCACTTTGGGAGGCCGAGGTGGGTGGATCACTTGAGGTCAGGAGTTCAAGACCAGCCTTGCCAACATGGCTAAAACCCGTCTCCACTAAAAACACAAAAAAATTAGCCAGACGTGGTGGCATTTGCCTGTAATCCCAGGTAGCTGGGAGGCTGAGGCAAGAGAATTGCTTGAACCTGGGAGGCGGAGGTTGCAGTGAGCCAAGATCCAGCCACCGTACTCCAGCCTGGGTAACAAAGCGGGACTCCATCTCAAAAAACAAAACAAAACAAAACAAAAAACAAAAACACACACACACACAAACACAAAAAAACAAAACTGCCAACTACCATCGTACCCTGCAATGTGATGTTTAAGAAGAAGATGGCAGAAGAAGACACTCAGCAAATGCTTGGTGCATCCATCTGAAGCACCTACTTTAGGGCTGGCCTAAGACAAATTATGGCTTAAAACTGGTGACTTTCCAACTTCCCCTTACGTAGCCTGTAAGGGCAAGATGATAGATGCTACTGTCACTATTTTGGTTGATAGATGCCTGTTAATTAGGATAGGTAAACTGATATCTGTGAAAATACTATATTCAACTAAACATAAAATCCTGAGGGCTATTTCTAGTAATTCTCTAAGTGAATTTCAAGCTTTCCAGTATCCCAACTTTAAATTGAAAGCAATAATATCTATCCATGTTATTTTAGTCAGGGTTTTCTAGAGAGACAGAACTGATAGTATACATAGACATATAAAAGGAAATGTATTAGGGGAATAGACTCACTTGATTATGAAGGCTGTGAAGTCCCACCGTAGGCTGTCTGCAAGCCGGAGAATCAGAAAACCCAGTAGCGTGGCTCAGTTTAAGTCCAAAGGCCTCAGCGCCAAGGAAGCTAATGGTGTAATTCTCAGTCCAAGGCTGAAGGCCCAAGAGCTGGGAGGAGCTGCTGGTATGAGTCCAGGAGTCCAAAGGCTGGAGAACCTTGAGTTCCACAGGCAGGAAAATAAAAGCACCCTGATTCCAGAAGAGAAGGAGAATTCACCCTTCCTCTGCCTTTTGTTCCATATAGGCCCCCAGCCAATTGGATGGTGCTTGTCCACATTCAGGGTGGATCTTCCCCACTCAGTCCATTGACTCACACACCAATCTCCTTTAGAAACATCCTCACAGGCACACCTGGGGCAGCCAAACCATTTTAATCAAAAGCAAAACCACCTGAGATTCATTTCAGCAGAAGCGGGATAGGCTCAGAGCCTACAGAAGCATTGAGAATAAACAATGCTTTACCAGCTGAGTATCCCTTAATCCAGTCAAGTTGATAGCCTAAAGCAACCTTTCACATATTGACATCAGATGTGAAGGACTCATTCAACAAACACTTAAAACACTCATTGGGTAACTACTATATTCAAGGCACCTTGTTAAGTTTTAGAAGTCCAAGTGGTTGCAATCTATCAGACTTACAATTAAACCTTAATGGAAAGTATAAAAAGTAGAAAACAAAGGATCTAATTCAAAGAAGGAAAAATAACAGGGATTTGTCAAAAAAAGTAACCCTTTTTCAAATAGTATTTTTCCACTTTTTTGAACCTAAAATGTAGGTCTTAACTTCGGCTGCTCATGAGAACTACTGATGATTTGTTTGTAACAGTGCTGGTCAGTGTCCATGGTCATTTCTTGTCCCCCCTTCCAGAGCTACCTAATTAGAATTTTTTTTTTTTTAAGATCAGTGCCCATGGTCATTTCTTGTCCCCCCTTCCAGAGCTACCTAATTAGATTTTTTTTTTTTTAAGATGGAGTCTTGCTCTGTTGCCCAGGCTGGAGTGCAATGGCATGATCTCAGCTCACTGCAACCTCTGCCTCCCAGGTTCCAGCGACTCTCCTCCCTCAGCCTCCCCAGTAGCTGGGACTACAGGCACCCGCCACCATACTCAGCTAATTTTTGTAGTTTTAGTAGAGATGGGGTTTCACCATGTTGGCCAGGATGGTCTCGATCTTCTGACCTCGTGATCCGCCCGTCTCGGCCTCCCAAAGTGCTGGGATTACAGGCGTGAGCCCCCACACTTTTAGAGGAGTGGGGAACAGGCTTCTATATGCAAAAAAACTCTGTAAGTGATTGTGTTATGCAGTGGGCATTGAGAACCACTGGCCCCAGCAAGGCAACTGGGGAAAGAATGTTAGTTTCCTTTCTCCCCTTCCACCTTCTGAGACTTTGTTACCAAGTTTAGCGTAAGCTCGGTAGACGGGCTACTTGCCAAACCGTCCTTTTTATTTAGAAGATTGGACATGATCCTCAAATCCAAGTTTCCCTCAAATTGCTAATGATTATGGCAGTCAAAAAGAGAAAGAGAAGAACTTAGACTATAGTGTAAGGTGACCGGAAAAATCTGATTAAAGGACAAATGTTCAGTTCAAAGGTGTTTCGAGCTGAGAATAGCATCTCTATTTACTCCTCACGATGTTCATCTCAGGAGGCACTGTACTTTCTACGGTTTACACTCAAATCCTGTAGAGCAGCATTTCTTCTACTGTCTTTCCCATCTTGGGCTTTCTCAGTTTGTACTTTTTCATGAAAGCCACTCACACTTTGTATTTTGTTTGCTGTTATTTTTAATTTAAAAATGGTTAAATCATTTGTTTACATTGTATCTTTGGAGGGAAGCACACCTGGCTTAATTCTTAATTCCCCTTACCATAGGACATTTCCCTCTGAGAAACCCCCAGGTCATAATTATCATCTTTCCCAAAGTTTTTCTTGGTCTTCTTAATAGTACTCCACACGGTTAACACTCCATCTGTTCTCACTCCATTGAATGCAATTTAGATTTTACTGTATAATCACGGGATTCTGAATGCATAATAAATACTGCCTTTGTTATTAGTTATTCCATGCATTTATGATTTGTCTTCCCAAGTAGATGATAAACATTTTGTCTGCTAACTCATAGTTCTGCAAATTCAAGAGAGGACTGTGCTTTGTCAATTTTTACTTATCAAAAACCCCCACGTTCAATTGCCTCGACCCTATTGAGGGTTACTTTTGATTTTGCAAGTAAATAGAAAAAAAGGAATCATTTTCTGAAATCTCTACTTAAAAGCACAAAATTCTCATCATTTTTCCAGGCATTAAAAGTTGCTGCATGAATCCTATTATTTCCCAGAAGAGTATTTTTAAAAAGTATAGCTGACTTACTCTGTACACATTTAAACTAAGATAAAATACCCACCCCCAGCCCCCGGCAACGCAGGTTTTTTTTTTTAAAGTCTATTTTCACAAGTCATAGGAAAACTCAGATTTAGAGATCTCTAAAATCCTGTAGTGGGACATTCTGTAAAATGCTCTTCCAAGAAGATAATTCCACTATGGACTTCATGACACTTCCTTGTGTGGTTAATCACAAACAATGTAGCATGAATCAAGGGTTGGAGAGATTTATAATGCTTCTTTTCCTTGGGACTTTTCAAAGGCATTTTATATCGCCTCATTTGAGGCCTCTATGTGAAAGTTTCCCTTAGAAAAAAGATCACATAATAGCATGATGTTCAGCAAAGATTGTCTGAAATCCACTGAGTTGACAAAAGCATTTTATTTTTGGGACCAAAAAGATTTAATAAACTTCCAGTTGTGCATGCATATAGAGGTAACAATAGATCAAATGACCAAAAAGTCAATTCAGAAAATGGTCTTGCTCTGGTAAAAATTATTTAAATTACAAGTAACAGAACCTACATATACCGTCTTTGCAAAAAAAAAAAAAAAGTGCAATGGGAGAGATTTAATGGAAGAATAAAAAATATATCACTATGCTTTGTGCAATTAGGTGTCACAGCAAAAATAAGCTCAGAAAGAGAACAAGAGACTCCATATCAGAAGTGGCATGTCCTTTCTTCTTTGCCGATCTCATGATATCTGTCTCATTTTGCTTATGGCTTCTTCTGCAGATTGAGGTTTTTTGTTTTGTTTTTTCAGGACTTAGTTTTGCTCTTGTCACCTAGCCTGGAGTGAAATGACACGATCTCTGCTCACTGAAACCTCTGCCTCCTGGGTTCAAGTGATTCTCCTCCCTCAGCCTCCTGAGTAGCTGGGACTACAGGCATGTGCCACTACACCTAGCTAATTTTGTATTTTTAGTTGAGATGGGGTTTCACCTGTTGGCCGGCCTGGTCTCAAACTCCTGACCTCAGGTGTTCCACCCACCTTGGCCTCCCAAAGTGCTGGGTTTACAGGCATGAGCCACTGTGCCCAGCCAGATTGAGTTTTTATATCTGCTATAGACATGGCTGCTTCAATACTTTTCATATCATTTTTTTAGATGATGTGAACTGTAAGATCACATGAGAAAAAATATGAGACTTCCACTTTCACTAATTGAAAATCAGATAGCTCAGACCAACATTCACCCAGATGACATAGAAAAGATGAGAAAAAACTTGTTGGCATCATATAGATAAGAAGATACTGAAGATTTACTAGGTCAAGATTCAGGAGAAGATGAAAAGGCAGAGACAGGCACCTAGCAGTTGGAGATACTTCCCTGGAGGCATCTGTTGATTCCCAAAGAAGCTGCTCAGTTACTAAGCAACACTTTTCTCAGCTTCATGGAATTTGGAAGACAGAAGAATAAGCCAGTTTTTACCAAAGTGGAGAAACTGATAAATCCCTGTGCTTGGATTGGAACCTAAAATGGCTTAACTCTAGAAGTAAGGCTAAATCAGAAGTGAACTATCCCCGATATGGACTATGGCCCAATATCAAGTCATGGAGTTTGATAAAATTTTGAAATTGAATTAAGGTAATACCAGATTAGAGATTACAGTGCCCAAAGGTGCATGGTAGAAGCAAACAAAATATTTTTCAGAAAAAAATCACATTACCCAAACCTCAAATTATTTCTATAAGCACTTTTCCAAATAAAATGCCTGGATCCCATTTATAATAACCAGGTACACAAAAAGAAAAGATGAATATAAATCAGCAGAAACAATAGACAATTAATCATACCAATTGAGGTTGGTCCATATGTTTGAACTAATAGATACAGACTTTAAACAGACTTTAAAAATAACTATGTTGGTCATATTCAATGAGTTCAAAAGAAAACTGAAATATTAAAAAATGCCTAGCATATTTTTTTTAAAAAAGGAGATGAAAATGAACAAAATAGAAATTATAGGGTGCAAAGTTCTAACAACTAAAATTTAGAACTTCATGGATGAGTATAACAACTAGTTAGGCATAGCTAAAAAGAGAATCAGTAAACTGAGAGGTAGGTCAGGAGAAATAATCTAGATTAAAGAACAGAAAAACAAATGAATGAAATGCACCAAAGAGAGGTAATAAGAGGCATGGATAATACAGTGAAAAGGGCAAACATACATTTATCTCCAGACCCAGAAGAAAAGGAAAGAGAGAGGATATTGTACAAGCAATATTTGGGAAGATGACGACTGTGAATATTCCAAATGTGATGAAAGACATCATCCACAGATTTAAAGCAGTCCAAGCATAACAAATGCAAGGAAATCCACACCTACACATATCGTAACAGAAACCAGAAATAATCAAATGTAAAGACATAATCTTAAAATTAGCTAGAGAAAAATATATACTGTTTTCTTTTCTTTTTTTTTTTTTTTTTTTTTTGAGACAGTCTCGCTCTGTCACTCAGGCTGGAGTGCAGTGGCACTGTCTCAGCTCACTGCAACCTCCACCTCCTGGGTTCAAGTGAGTCTCCTGCCTCAGCCTCCTGAGTAGCTGGGACTATAGGTGTGTGCCACCATACCCAGCTAATTTTTTGTATTTTTAGTAGAGATGGGGTTTCACCGTGTTAGCCAGGATGGTCTCGATCTCCTGACCTCATGATCCACCCGCCTCAGCCTCCCAAAGTGCTGGGATTACAGGTGTGAACCACTGCACCTGGCCAGATACACCATTTTCAAAGAGCAGTAATTAGATCAAGAGTGGACTTCTTATCAGACAAAAATATAATTATCTCCTCAATGGGTTGAAAGGAAGTAATTGATTTTTATGCCATTGAAAATATCATTCAGAATTAAACAAAATATCTTCATGCCATAGAAAAAATAGAGAATCTATCACCTGCAAAACTGCATTAAAACAAGTACTAAAGAATGATCTCCAAGTAGAAGAACATGTTTTTAAATGAATCTTAGAGATGCAGGATGGAGTAAAAAATAATGAAATTGTAAACAGGTGGGTAAACTAAATAAATATTAACCACATAAACCAGTTATAACAATGTCTTATGAGGTTTGTTTTTTGTTTCCTTGAAGACAGGGTCCGGTTCTGTTACCCCAGCTGGAATGCAGTGGCACTATCATGCTCACTGCAGCCTTGAACTCCTGGGCTTAAGCTTTCCTCTTACCTCAGCCTCCTGAATAGCTGGCACTACAGGTGTGCACCACCATAACTGCAATTATTTTATTTTTTGTAGAGAGGTGGTCTTGCATTGTTGCCCAGGCTGGTCTTGAACTCCTGGCTTCAAGCCTTCCTCCCGCCTTAGCCTTCCAAAGTGCTGATGTTTAACACACACACACACACACACACACACACACACTCCTATCTGTTTTACAGAGTAATCCATAGGTCAGAATCTAGCTCATTGATTACCCTTACAAGAAGTCTATTAAAGAGAGAAGGCAATGTGTCTTAATTTGAAGCTTATGGAAGTTGTTGAAAAAATGCCTCTCTCCCCACTCCAATTTACCCACCCCTCCACAAGAAACAGAAGGAGGCTGATCAAAGTAATCAAGACTGACTGGCATGTCTCAGCATTCCAAACATATGTATATTCATAAAATCTAGGGAAACGGGGCTCTGACCACTGGAAGTCTGTAACACACATTGTTAGGACTAGCTGAATTATATAATTACTACCCAGGTTGGTCAGGACACATCTCTCACACAAATAAGATGTCTTAACCACCAAAAAAACAGAATATAACATTATCTTTAAAAATTAAAAAATTAAAAGTAAAAGTGTAAATAATTATCTGGAAGTGTTTGCCATTTTTGCAAAAAAATACTTATCTGCATTCAAGTTTGGAAGATTTTGTTTATTAGATCACCGAAGCTATATTCTTTTTTAACTGTATTTTATGTGGCTCAAGCAAAAGCATAAATTCTTAATATTGCAATATACTTACCATAATATAGCTATATAGTCTATTTGCAAAGGAGCAATAGTTATCATTGGACTCATATTACTTTTTCTTCTCAGAAACTTCATTTTTCAAAATAAAATGCTACAGTCATTACAGTGAAAATATAAACAGAACTATTTACAATATAAACACATATATTTACAATATAAACACAAATATAAACAGGAGTATTTACAATATAAACACTTACTGGAACCTACAACTTTCCAAAATCTTTCTCCTTCACTTTTTCCTGTCTAAAATTGGATTAATGTGTTCATTTTCAAAGGAACTTGATGGACAGTACTAAAAGTTTGAATATTGTGAGTGCTTAATAGTAGTTTATAAATGCTGAATACTAAGTTACAGGTGATGCAATAAGCATAACTTCAGAAATACTTCAAGATAATTTTGCCATGCTGCATGCTTTCAAATAAATTAATTAAAAAATATTAACCTAAACAGAAATATGATTAGACTCATCATGTCAAAATTGACTGTAATTTTATGTCTGTTAAACATAAGGTGAAGTTTATCTTCATTGAATTTTAGATAGTAACTAGAGCAAGTTGTCTAAGAGATAGTGTTATACAAAAAAATGATAGGGTAAATTGGTTAACAGTATATAGAATGCTGTTTCAGTGAATGCCACATTTTTGTAAAAAAACTTAGGGTTTAAAATAATAATAAACGAGAATTAATTGAGCTCCCTGGGGAAATAGTTACTGAAATAGTTAATATTTTCTGAAGAATAACAAAAAATAAGATACTAACTGAAGACAATGAATAAAGACAATTTTATTCTCAAACAATTGAAGTTTATACATTTCATGATCATCCAACGACTTCTTAATCGCTTTATGAAAACTGGTTTGAACACTTCGAAATAGACACAGACTTCCTTCTGCAGAGCTATCAATGACAGGGACACTATTAGACGGAGATTGCAGAAAAGCTCTCACCAACTTCAATGTATTTTTATTTAAAATTCCACTACTGACATGTAACCATGACAGCAAAGAGGGCCTTTCTCTAACTGTAGAATAAGGAGATAGGCTCTTTGAGCACAATATCCATCAAAAAGATTAAGTAATGAAACAGGACACATTTCTGTCACTTCTACATCTGCCTGCTGTGCAAGTACACAAGGAGAGAAAGAAGCTGTCAGTTTGAGCAGCATTTTCCAATCTGAGGCTTTTAGGAAAATTACAGGGCACTGAAGAATGACAGTTCACATTAGAGCTGATTGGTGTCACAGCCAAAAGGAGGAAAGGCTCCTTGTCCTTTCACAATAGGGATTCGTCTTCCTTGAGCAAAGCTAATCACCTCCCATACTCCCAAAACTAACGATATAGCTAATCAAAAGAAATCATCCATTGAAGTGAAGTCTTCGTAGGCTCTTGGTTTAGTACAAAATCAATTTTGATTTTCATAAATGCCAGGTAGCTTTGACTGTATTGTCAACATCTGCACAGGTAATGTTGCTGAATACCTGAAGGTTGCTCCAAGTTTCTGTCCTAGAAAGATAGCTCTTGCTCCTGTTAATATGGGTAGATGTTCTGATTCCAAATAAAGTGCAATTTTTCATTATCCAGTGTAGTATCACTTGAGTGATTATATTAAACAGGATAGACTTCTCATCTTTCCCAGTCAAGGAAGAAATGTTTGACAATAGTGGCCTCTTCACTTGGAATCTGTAATCACAGTTCTTGGCATTGCTTCCTTCTGAGTTTTAGCTCAGAGCTAACAGAGAATAACACACATATATTACTGTGTTATTTAGCAAAGGACAGAGAAGAACAAGTGAAAAGTGGTCAGTTTAATATTTTAGCAATGTCTAAATCAATTGTTTACTGAGTATAAGAGGTTTTATCAGTGCAAAATCCTTCAAAAAGTTTTGAGGAAATCTGTCCAAACTAGGGAAGGCAGATTTATACCTAATAAACACATTTAAGAAAGTTGGGTGCCACCTGTTTTTTAAAAAAATTAAAATGGTGGTGTACTTATCAGGCTATTCAGCCTAATTTTTTTATTATTATTATACTTTAAGTTCTGAGGCACATGTGTAGAACATGCAGGTTTGTTACATAAGTATACATGTGCCATGGTGGTTTGCTATACCGATCAACCCATCATCTACATTAGGTATTTCTCCTAATGCTATCCCTCCTGTAGCCCCCCAACCCCCAACAGACCCTGGTGTGTGATGTTCCCCTCCCCATGTCCATGTGTTCTCATTGTTCAACTCCTACCTGTAAGTGAGAACATGTGGTGTTTGGTTTTCTGTTCTTGTGTTAGTTTGCTAAGAATGATGGTTTCCAGCTTCATCCACGTCCCTGCAAAGGACATGAACTCATCAGTTTTATGGCTGCATAGTATTCCCTGGTGTATATGTGCCACATTTTCTCTATCCATTCTATCATTGGTGGGGATTTGGGTTGGTTCCAAGTCTTTGCTATTGTGAGCAGTGCCGCAATAAACATACTTGTGCACGTGTCTTTATAGTGGAATGATTTATAATCCTTTGGGTATATACCCAGTAATGGGATGGCTGGGTCAAATGGTATTTCTGGTTCTAGATCCTTAAGGAATCGCCACATTGTCTTCCACGGTGGTTGAACCAATTTATACTCCCACCAACAGTGTAAAAGTGTTCCTATTTCTCCACATCCTCTACAGCATCTGTTGTTTCCTGACTTTTTAATGATCGCCATTCTAACGGGCATGAGGTGGTATCTCATTGTGGTTTTGATTTGCATTTCTCTAATGACCAGTGATGATGAGCTTTTTTTCATATGTTTTTTGGCTGCATAAACGTCTTCTTTTGAGAAGTGTCTGTTCATATCCTTTGCCCACTTTTTGATGGGGTTGTTTTTTTCTTGTAAATTTGTTTAAGTTTTTTATCGATTCTGGATATTAGCCCTTTGTCAGATGGATAGATTGCAAAAATTTTCTCCCATTCTGTAGGTTGCCTGTTCACTCTGATGCTAGTTTCTTTTGCTGTGTAGAAGCTCTTTAGTTTAATTAGATCTCATTTGTCAATTTTGGCTTTTGTTGCCGTTGCTTTTAGTGTTTTAGTCATGAAGTCTTTGCCCATGCCTATGTCCTGAATGGTATTGCCTAGGTTTTCTTTTGGGGTTTTTATGGTTTTAGGTCTTACATTTAAATCTTTAATCCATCTTGAGTTAATTTTTGTGATTTTTATTTTTTATTTTTTTGAGACTGACTCTCTGTGTCGCCCAGGCTGGAGTGCAGTGGCACAATCTCGGCTCACTGCAAACTCCGCCTCCTGGGCTCAAGGGATTCTCCTGTCTCAGCCTCCCGAGTAGCTGGGATTACAGGCACGCACCACCATACCCAGCTAATTTTTGTTATGTTTGGTAGAGACAGGGTTTCGTCATGTTGGCCAGGCTGCTCTCGAACTCCTGACCTCAGGTGATCTGCCTGCCTCGCCCTCCCAAAGTGCTGGGATTATAGGTGTGAGGCACCGCACCCGGCCTCACCTTAAATTTTATAAAAGTACTAAATGATAGTAGACCCTCAGGCGGTCTTGCTGCAAAACTGAATTCTGTAATACCCTTAGTAAAGGAAGAGAAAGAAATCATAGAAAAATCAAAGTCCCAATTAAAATAGCTCAGAAAACTGTGCAAAAGATATTTGAATTATTTTGTTAAATTCCATTCAATATTAGAAACACATGTATCATTCTAAAGATATCTTCAAAGGTGTAAAATTAAAAGTCTAGTAGCAAGTCTCTATAAATTGCTTGATGGAAAATGGTCAAATGATAGCAACTGAAAAGTAATCTGTTTTTAGATTTGTTTAGCCCAATTCATCTTTGTTTTGGTTGTTTTAACATTCGTAAGGTAAACCTGTCATATGCAGCTGAGAGTATTTCAGTGAGATCACAGTTAATCTGTCTTGGGAAGAAACAAAATTTTCATTTAAATGGAGCAATTCAAGAGACTTTAATAAAAGGACTATTTACAGAGGTGTAGGCAAAGTTTATGAAACCCAGATATAACAAAACAGGAAGCTGCTATGGCTGTAGGCAGGAAAGAAATAAGGGTGTAAATAAGGTCATCAGAACAGAGTAAGAGGTGGAGTCATGGAGGAGAGGCTGCCCAACAGAATAAGTTACAGTCTTAGGGGCCCACAGCCACTGCCAGAACCCTGAAACACAGCAGGGAGGGAATGGTGAAGAAATAATCCTACTTCTTTCTTTTCACTCCAATGTCTTGTTGATGGCTGTGTTAGATAAACTCCACAGGAAACCAGCAGACTAGAGAATCTGGGCAATGCTGCCCCTAAGCATCAACTACACAGGACAATATGTAGGGAATAGAAGGATTGAGAATGAGTCTGAGTAAATGTGGAATAACCAGAGTACAATGTATGTCTATTGATAATTAAGTTTCATAGTACTAGCTGCAAATAAATGAGTAGATATTTCTGCTGATTTGTAGTAATTTCAATGATTCCTGCCTCCAGTCTTTTATGGCCATAGGTTATTTAACTGTCTCTCTATTGATGAATTATTAATTTGTTTCCAATTTAATACTCTTATGAACAATATTGCAATGAACATCCATTACTTCAAGGCACTGCAACAGAGATATAGGAAAGGTATATTTTTAAAGTAAACTTCATTGAAGTATAATATACTTACAATAAAAATAATATCACACTTTTTAAGTGTACATACAGATCGGTGACTCTTAACAATTGTACATACCCTTGTAAATATCATCAAGATATAGAACATTTCTATTCCACAAAAAAGTTCCCTTGCACCCCTTTTTAGTCAATCTCTTCCAACTATTTACCTATTCCATGTGGCCACTGGTCTGATTGTGTCAAATAGATTAGTCTTGTGTATTCTAGGATATTATACAAATGGCATCTTTTGCTCAAATATCTATGAAATGCAAACATATTGTTGTATCTATCAGTAGATTGCTTCTTTTTATTGATGAGAAGTGCTCCATCACACAAGTAAACTCTAATTTGTTTATTCATTCACCTATCAATGTTTCTAATTTTGGCTATCATGAATAAAGGTATTATAAATATTTATGTAAAATTATACACATAGATTTTTCTCTTGGGTAAATACTTGGAAAGACTGAGATATGTGATAAGTGTATGCTTTACTTTAGAAAAATGGCTAAACTGTTTTCCAAAGTGCTGTATCATTTTACACACTCACCAGGAATTTTTATGAGTTCCAGTTGCTTTACATCCTCACCAACAATTAGTCTCACCAGTCTTTTTGATTTTAGTTGTTCTAGTGAGTATGCAGTGTTTTTTGTTTTGTTTGTTTGTTTGTTTTTGAGATGGAGTCTCACTCTGTTGCCCAGGCTGGAGTGCAGTGGTGAGATCTGGGCTCACTGCAACCTCTGCCTCCCGGGTTCAAGTGATTCTCCTGCCTCAGCCTCCCGAGTAGCTGGGATTACAGGCGTGTGCCACCATGCCCAGCTAATTTTTGTATTTTTAGTAGAGATAGGGTTTCACCGTGTTGGCCAGGCTGATCTCAAACTCCTGACCTCAGGTGATCTGCCCACCTCGGCCTCCCAAAGTGCTGGGATTACAGGCATGAGCCACTGTGCCAGGCCCCAGTGGTATATTATTTTAAGTTGCATTTCCCTAACGACTAATGATATTGAGCATCTTTTTGCATAATTTCTTGGTCTTTTGCTGATCTTCTTTGATGAAAAGTCTGTTCAAGTTTTTGCCTTTTTAAAAACTATCAGGTTGTTTTATCATAGTTTTATCACACACACACAAAAGAAAGCATGTTCTCTATAGGCTAGAACTCAGCGGTTAAAGAACATGTGGAAGTTTGGAAATGGTTAGCAATCAGAATGAATCTGTAGGTAAACTGTGCTTACTCCCGTGTTTTATCCTAACCATGGGAGTCTACAAAGAAGGAAGGAGAGACATAAGCTTTGAAGATTGTCATAAAAACAATTAGGCCATATAAGTAACTATTATGTAATTAACACATTGGCTTTCTCTCTGACCAAGGGGGAATTCCTCAAATTATTTTTTTCTCTCCTCTCTCTCTCATGTTCTCCATCAAAAAATAAAAATTAAAAAAGCAAGTTTCTCTAAAGACTCTCTCAGTTTTGACATCTTATGAGTTGATAACGTAATAACCCCAAACTTTAAATTCTCACCTGCCACAGTTTTTAGAACCACAGAGAACAGGCATTATTTACAGATGGAGTAATTTTCTTGTCATGTGGAAACGAGGCTATGTGATTTGCCATCTAGGGTGAAGTACTACGAGCTCAGTTGTTATATGAATCTTTTCTGTGCAGAATTGTCATTTATACTCCTGTCATGTGTGATTTTTTTCATCTTGGCCTTTAAATTTGAGATCTTTGGGTTTCTGTTGTGTTTTTCCCTAAACAAGAGTCAAACCTGTCATCTTTTCATAGACTCACGTACAGACAAGTAGCGATGCTTTATGTAAGCACTTAATGTTCATGCAAAAAAAAATGTTTTAAAAATAAATTATCAGTGGTGGCATTTTGTGTCATAAAGTATCGACTTTGTTTTAGTATAAAAGGATTGAAGATGTTAGTAAATTTTTGATGCTAGTTTTATTTAAAATTTTTATAATTACATTAGTCACCCAAATTCTACCTCCGTTAAATACTGGTTCAGATTACATCCAAACATAGTATTGGGTCATTCTGGGTATTCAATGGTGAAGACATTTTTCTTTTTTTTGTTGTTGTTATAAATTTTAGCTTGTTTTTATTTTTAATTTTTTAAATTACTTTTTAAATTTTTTGTGGGTATATAGTAGGTGTATATATTTAGGGGATACATGAGAGGTTTTGAAATAGGCATGCAGAACCACCATGGCACATGTATACCTATGTACCAAACTTGCATGTTCTGCATGTGTATCCCAGAACTTAAAGTTTAAAAAAGAAACTATATATGTACATATATACATATATGTAAATATGTTTACACATATATTTATATATACATATATGTATATATTTACATACATTTATATATGCATATGTGTATATATTCACATATATTTATATATACATATGTGTATATATTCACACATATATTTATATATACATATGTGTATATATTCACACATATATTTATATATACATATGTGTATATATTCACACATATATTTATATATACATACGTGTATATATTTATATACGCATATAGTATATATTCACTCATATATTTATATATACATATATGTATATATTCACACATATATTTATATATACATATGTGTATATATTCACACATATATTTATATATACACACGTGTATATATTTACATATATTTATATATGCATATATGTATATAGTCACTCATATTTATATATACATATATGTATATATTCAAACATATATTTATATATACATATGTGTATATATTCACACATATATTTATATATACATACGTGTATATATTCACTCATATATTTATATATACATACGTGTATATATTTACATATATTTATATATGCATACGTGTATATATTCACTCATATATTTATATATACATACGTGTATATATTCACTCATATATTTATATATACATACGTGTATATATTCACATATATATTTATATATACATACGTGTATATATTCACATATATATTTATATATACATACGTGTATATATTCACATATATATTTATATATACATACGTGTATATATTCACATATATATTTATATATACATACGTGTATATATTCACATATATATTTATATATACATACGTGTATATATTCACATATATATTTATATATACATATATGTATATATTTACATATATATATATAAAAGAAATAGGCATGAGGAGAAAGGAAGAGCAGCGTGGGTGGTGTGACAGCCCACCTGAGGGCCACACGGGGCAGGGGAGCCCCCACACCCCAGCCAAGGGAGGCGGTGAGTGAGCATGCTACCCAGCCTGGGAAACTGCTTTTTACATGTAACTGTGCAACCGACAGATTGGTAGATCCCACATGTGAGCCCACCAGGGCACCAGGGTCTAAGGTCGCAACCACAGAGCAACACCTAGATTCTCAACAGCCACTCAGCTAGAACTGCCTAAGCCTGCCAAGTTCCCCAGAGGAGGGGCGGCCATCGCCACAGCTGCAGCTGCCTGCTGTCTAAGCTCTTTGGGGATGGTGGCAGCCAACTCTGGGACTCGTAGCTGCCTAACACACTAAGCTCCCAGGGCGGGGGAAGGGTGGAAGCCATCTCTATAGCTCCAGGCTGTACTTTTCCCCTGCTGGAGCCAGGAAGGCTGGATGGCTTGGTCCCAAGAGGTACTACCCACAGCCTAACACACCTGCTGTGGTAGAATGTGGCCAGAGTACCTCCTCAGGCCTAAGCCTGACTCATCCCTCCTCACTCGGTAGGGCATCCCTGCAGGAACTCCAACAACTGCAGTCAGGGGCTCAGGGACAGAATTCTGAGCTCTCTGGGCCTGAGCCCCTAGTGGGAGGGGTGGCTGTAGTCTCAGTAGACCAGCAGATGTAGCCTCTCCTCCTTCTAGTTCTGAGGAATCCAGGCAGCCCAGTTGAATAGGTTTTCCCCCACCACAGCACATCCCCTCCACCAAGGGACAGCCAAAGTGCTTTGTTAAACAGGTCCTACTTCCCATGCCACCTAACTGGGTGAGACCCCCCCCAACAGGGGTTGTCAGACATCCTGTACAGGAGCATATCTACTGGCATCAGGTTGGTGCCCCTCAAGGTCAGAGATCCCAGAGGAAGAAGCAGGTACGCATCTTGGCTGTTCTCCAGCCTCCCTGAGTGACATTTCTAGGCGCAGGAGTGAACCAGATGAATAGGGCCTGAAGTAAACCCCCAGCAAATGCAGCAGCCTGGCAGAAGACAGACCTGACTATTGAAAGAAAAACAAACAAAGAGAAAGCAACAACAACAGCATCAACAAAAAAGTTCCACAAAGACCTCATCCAAGGGTCAGCAGCCTCAAAGATTGAAACTAGACAATCTCACGAAAATGAGAAAGAATCAATAAAAAAAAATGCTGAGAACCGAAAAGGCCAGAGTGCTTCTTCTCCTCCAAATGATCGCAATACCTGTCCAGCAAAGGCGTAAACTGAATGGAGGATAAGATGGACGAATTGACAGAAGTAGGCTTCAGAACATGGGTAATAACAAACTCCACTGAGGTAAAGGAGCATGTTTTAATTCAATGCAAAGAAGCTAAGAACCTTGATAAAAGGTTACAGGAGCTGCTAACTAGAATAACCAGTTTAGAGAGGAACATAAATGACCTGAGAAAGCTGGAAAACACAGCATGAGAACTTTGCGAAGCATGCACAGGTATCAATAGCCAAATCAATCAAGCAAGCAGAAGAAAGAATATCAGATATTGAAGACCATCTTACTGAAATAAGGCAAGCAGACAAGATTAGAGAAAAAGGAATGAAAAGAAACAAACAAAACCTCCAAGAAATATAGGACTATGTAAAAAGACTAAACCTACAATTGGTTGGTATACCTGAAAGAGATGGGGGATAATAGAACCAAGTTGGGAAATACATTTCAGGATATTATCCAGGAGAACTTCCCTAACATAGCAAGACAGGAAATAGAGAGAACACCACTAAGATACTCCATGAGAACATCAACCCCAAGACACATAATAACCAGATTTCCCAAGGTCACAATGCAGTAAAAAATGTAAAGGGCAGCCAGACAGAAAGGCCAGGTAACCTATAAAAGGAAGCCCGTCAGACTAACAGTGGACTTCCCAGCAGAAAACCTACAAGCCAGAGGAGAGTGGAGGCCAATATTCAATAATTCTCAACCCAGAAATAGAAATAAAATCCTTTTCAGACAAGCAAATGCTGAGGGATTTCATTACCAGCAGGCTTGCCTTGCAAGAGCTCCTGAAGGAAGCACTAAATATGAAAAGGAAAAACTGGTACCAGCCACTGCAAAAACACACCAAAATATAAAGACCAATGACACTATGAAGAAAATGCATCAACTAGTGTGCAAAATAACTAGCTAGCATCATGATGACAGGACCAAATTCACACATAACAATATTAACCTTAAATGTAAATGAACTAATTGCCCCAATTAAAAGGCATAGACTGGCTAATTGGATAAAGAGTCAAGACCCATTGGTGTGCTGTGTTCAAGAGACCCCTCTCATGTTAGAAGACACACATAGGCTCAAAATAAAGGGATGGCGGAATATTTACCAAGCAAATGGAAAGCTAAAAAAAAGCAGGGGTTGCAACCCTGTCTCTGACTGTCTCTGACAGAACAGACTTTAAACCAACAAAGATAAAAAAGACAAAGAGGGGCATTGCATAATGGTAAAAAGACCAATTCAACAAAAAGAGATAGTTATCCTAAATATATGCACCCAATACAGGAGCACTCAGATTCATAAAACAAATTCTTAGAGACCTATAAAGAGACTTAGACTCCCACACAATAATAGTAGGAGACTTTAACAACCCACTATCAGTATTAGACAGATCAATGAGACAGAAAATTAACAAGGATATTCAGGACTTGAACTCAGCTCTGGATCAAATGGGCCTAATAGATAACCACAGAACTCTCCACCCCAAATCAATACAATATATACTCTTCTCAGCGCCACATGGCTCTTACTCTAAAATCGATCACACAATTAGAAGTAAAACACTCCTCAGCAAATGCAAAAGAACTGAAATCATAACAAAAAGTCTCTTAGACCACAGTGCAATCAAATTAGACCTCAGGATTAAAAAACTCACTCAAAACCACACAGCTACATGGAAATTTGGCAACCTGCTCCTGAATGACTCCTGGGTAAATAAAGAAATTAAGGAAGAAATCAAGAAGTTCTTTGAAACCAATGAGAACAAAGAGACAATGTACCAGAGTCTCTGGGACAAACTAAAGCAGTGTTAAGAAGGAAACTTATTGCATAAAATGTCCACATCAGAAAGATAGAAAGATCTCAAATCGACTCCCTAACATCACAATTAAAGGAGCTAGAGAAGCAAGCACAAACGAATCCAAAAACTAGCAGAAGACAATAAATAACTAAGATCAGAGTGGAACTGAAGGAGATAGGGACATGAAACTCTTTTCAAAAAATCAATCAACCCAGGAGCTGTTTTTCTGAAAAAATTTACAAAATAGGTAGACCACTAGCTAGACTAATAAAGAAGAAAAAAGAATAAAATAGACACAATAGAAAATGATAAAGGGGATATCACCACTGACCCCACAGGAATACAAACTATCATCAGAGAATACTATAAACACCTCTAGGCAAATAAACTAGAAAATGGATAAATTCTTGGACACATACACCCTCCCAAGACTAAACCAAGAAGAAGTTGAATCCCTGAATAGATCAATAACAAGTTCTAAAATTAAGGCAGTAATTAATAGCCTACCAACAAGAAAAAGTCCAGGACCAGATGGATTCATAGCAGAATTCTATGAGAGGTACAAAGAGGAGTTGGTATCATTCCTTCTGAAACTATTCCAAACAATTGAAAAGGAGGGACTGCTCCCTAACTCAGTTTATGAAGCCAGCATCATCCTGATATCAAAACCTGGCAGAGACACAACAAAAAAAAGAAAACTTGAGGTCAATATCCCTGATGAACATTGATGTGGAAATCCTCCATAAAATACTGGCAAACTGAATCTGGCAGCACATTGAAAAGCTTATCCACCATGATCAAGTTGGCTTCATCCCTGAGATGCAAGGCTGGTTCAACATACACAAATCAATAAACATAATCCATCACATAAAGAGAACCAATGACAAAAACCATATGATTATCTCAATAGATGCAGAAAAGGCCTTTGATAAAATTCAACGTCCCTTCAAGTTAAAAACTCTCAATAAACTCGATATTGATGGAACATATCTTTAAAAAATAAGACCTATTTATGACAAACCCACAGCCAATATTATAATGAGAGGGCAAGCTGGAAGCATTCCCTTTGAAAACCGGCACAAGACAAAGATGCCCTCTCTCACCACTACTATTCAACATAGTATTGAAAGTTCTGGCCAGAGCAATCAGGCAAGAGGAACAAATAAAAGGTATTCAAATAGGAAGAGAGGAAGTCAAACTTTCTCCGTTTGCAGATGACATGGTTTTTTTGTTTGTTTTTTCTGAGACAGAATCTTGCTCTGTCGCTAGGCTGGAGTGCAGTGGTGCGATCTCGGCTCACTGCAACCTCCGCCTTCCAGGTTCAAGTGGATCACCTGCCTCAGCCTCCCAAGTAGCTGGGACTACAGGCACACGCCACCATGCCCAGCTAATTTTTGTAATTTTGATAGAGATGGGGTTTCACCATGTTGGCCAGGATAGTCTCGATCTCTTGATCTTGTGATCCACCCGCCTTGGCTTCCCAAAGTGCTGGGATTACAGGCATGAGCCACTGGGCCCAGCCCAGATGACATAGTTTTATATTTAGAAAACCCCTTCATCTCAGCCTGAAAACTCCTTAAACTGATAAGCAACTTCAGCAAAGTCTCAGGATACAAAATTAATGTGCAAAAATCACAAGCATTCCTTTACGCCAACAATAGACAAGGAGAGAGCCAAATCATGAATGAACTCCCATTTACAATTGCTACAAAAGAATAAAATACCTAGGAATACAGCTGACAAGGGACATAAAAGACCTCTTGCAGAAGAAGTACAAACTGCTGCTCAAGGATATAATAGAAGATACAAACAAACGAAAAAACATTCTATCCTCATAAAGAGGAAGAATCAATATCTTGAAAATGCACATGCTGCCCAAAGTAATTTATAGATTCAATATTATTCCCAACAAACTACCACTGACATTCTTTACAGAATTAGAAAAATGACTTTAAATTTCATATGGAACCATATGTCTTGTATAGCCAAGACAATCCTAAGCAAAAAGAACAAAGCTGGAGGCATCACGCTACCTGACTTCAAAATATACTACAAGGCCACAGTAACCAAAACAGTATGGTACTGGTACCAAAACAGACATATGAATCAATGGAACAGAACAGAGACCTCAGATATAACACCATGCATCTACATTCATCTGATCTTTGACAAACCTGACAAAAACAAGCAATGGGGAAAGGACTCCCTTTTGAATAAATGGTGCTGGGAAACTAAAATTGGGCCCCTTCCTTGCACCTTATACAAAAATTAACTCAAGATGGATTAAAGACTTAAATGAAAAATCCAAAACCATAAAAACCCTAGAAGAAAACCTAGGCAATACCATTCAGGACATAGGCATGGGCAAAGATTTCATGATGAAAATGTCAAACTCAATTGCAACAAAAGCTAAAATTGACAAATAGGATCTAATTAAACTGAAGAGCTTCTGCACAGCAAAAGAAACTATCATCAGAGTGAACAGGCAACCTACAGAATGGGAGAAAATTTTTGCAATCTACCCATCTGATAAATGTCTAATATCCAGAATCTACAAAGAACTTAAACAAATGTACAAGAAAAAACAACCACATCAAAGCATCAAAAAGTGGGCAAAGCATATGAACAGACACTTCTCAAAAGAAGACATTTATGCAGCCAACAACCATATGAAAAAAAAGCTCAACATCACTGATCATCAGAGAAATGCAAATCAAAACCACAATGAGATATCACCTCACGCCAGTCAAAATGGTGATTATTAAAACGTCAAGAAACAGCACATACTGGCAAGGCTGTGGAGAAATAGGAATGCTTTTACACTGTTGGTGGGAATGTAAATTAGTTCAATCATCCTGGAAGACAGTGTGGCAATTCCTCAAGGATCTAGAACCAGAAATACCATTTGGCCTACCAATCCCTTTACCGGGTATATACCCAAAGAAATTTAAATCATTCTACTACAAAGACACATGCACACGTATGTTTATTGCAGCACTACTTACAATAGCAAAGACATGGAACCAACTCAAATGCCGATCAATGATAGACTGGAAAAAGAAAATGTGGTATATATACACCATGTGATACTATTCTGCCATAAAAATGAATGATAACATGTCCTTTGCAGGGACATGGATGAAGCTGGAAGATATTATCCTCAGCAAACTAACACAGGAACAGAAAACCAAACACCACATGTTCTCACTCATAAGTGGGAGTTGAACAAAGAGAACACATGGATACAGGGAGGGGAACAACACACACTGAGGCCTGTTGGGTAGGGGAAGGGAGGGAGAACATCAGGACAAATAGCTAATGCATGCTGGGCTTAAAACCTAGATGATGGGTTGATAGGTGCAGCAAACCACCATGGCACGTGTATACCTATGTAACAAACCTACATGTTCTGCACATGTATCCCAGAACTTAAAGTAAAATTAAAAAAAAAAAAGAAATAGGCATCAATATTAAATAAGCCCATCATGGAGAATGGGGTATCTATCACTTCAAGCATTTATCCTTTGAGTTACAAACAATCCAATTACATTCTTTAAGTTATGTAAAAATATACAATTAAGTTATTATTGACTATAGTCATCCTTTTGCGCTATCAAATAGTAGGTCTTATTCATTTTTTCTTTTTTTTTTTTTTTTTTTGAAACAGAGTCTCACTTTGTTGCCCAGGCTGGAGTGCAGTGGCGTGATCTCGGCTCCCTACAAGCTCTGCCTCCCGGGTTCACGCCATTCTTCTGCCTCAGCCTCCCGAGTATCTGGGACTACAGGTGCCTGCCACAACGCCTGGCTAATTTTTTGTACTTTTTAGTAGAGACGGGGTTTCACCATGTTAGCCAGGATGGTCTCCATCTCCTGACCTCGTGATCCGCCTGCCTCGGCCTCCCAAAGTGCTGGGATTACAGGCGTGAGCCACCGTGCCCAGCCCCATTTTTTCTATTTTTTTATAGACATTAACCATCTGCATCTCCTCCCCAACCCTCCGCTACCCTTTCCAGCCTCTGGTAACCATCCTTGACATTTTTCTTTTAAAATCTAAAATGATGTTTTAGAGAAATATAGACCAAAGGGCTCCAGACAGACTCAGCTGTATAATATTCCACAAGACTCAGTCTATCTTTAAGACCAGATATAAATGTCTCTACATTGATTTCCAAATGACTAGAATATTCTGTCCTCTATATAGGTTACAGCAATCTAGTTACATTGGGAGTTGGTCAAAATATAATATAATCACATTAACCCAAGTATTAAGGAGTGCCTCAGTGACCTCTGCACTCAGGCCAAAGAAGCTCTCTTGAGAAGTTCCCTCCATTGCTGCAGGAGGTGGTCTCTGTCCATACCAGTCACTGCAAACCTGATGGTTCCTGAAGTCTCTGATGTGATTCCATTCATGCTAGAGTTGCCCTTTCCAAGGAAGCCACTGAAAACATTGTTACATTGTGACTTCTCCCACATGATTCTCCTTGGAATGTCTCCAGTATCACAATGTAAACTCAACCATGTTTCATGTTGCTTTGAATTTAAGACTTATGATAGTACATGGATTTAGTATATTAAATGTAATTGCTTTACAGATTTATTCTGCTAAAGCAAATATTTTGCATATGTAATCTACCAGGCACCCTTCTATTATAATTTAAGGCAGTATTCCATTAGTGTTTAAAACATCATGCTTTGTAGGAAATCATTCTAGTTTCACTGACAGCATTCTCTGTACTCAATTTTCTCAGTAGTCCATACCAGCAGAATTATTTTTTTCACGTTGTTCTCGTAATTACAAAAGTGATACATGCTTATTGTAGGACATTTGGAAAATATAGAGAAGATGAGAGTAAATAATAAAAATTGCTTATAATCCCTTTGCCCAGAGATAATAAATTTTAATATTTTGGTGTTTCTCTTATGTGCCTATCATTTTATAAATTTTCACATACATTATTTAGAGCAACCATCATTTCTGAATTCTTCCTCCTCAGCTTTCAAGTTTATATCAGGACACCAATACATTTTCCTCAGCTGAAGAGGAATTGGGAGTTGAAGCAGCAAGAATGAGAGGGAAGAGAGAAAATAGAGCTTAGAATCTGTTTTTCAGTGCTGAACTTATTATAATAAGAAATTAAATGGCCCCCTTCAAAGCCATTCCCAGAAGCCTCTGCTCTCATGATTATTGCCTGCTTCTTCTTTATCATCATGAGAGTTTAATAATACCATTGTCAAAGTTAGCACAGTTATTTTTTATCTCGCATTTGAATAAAATGCCACCTCCCATTTTATTTCGTGGCACTCATGCTAACCCCTCATCCCTTTCCCTGATTCTGGCCCCTCTGGGCCTCCTCCTCTTGTTAGTGGAATCTTCTCCTACACTAGTGATTAGTTATGTCAGCCTCGGGCAGTCCAGGAGAATAGAATTACATGGATTGATGCTTGGTCAAAGACTAACTACAAAATATCCTCTCAACTATGGAAAAATCTACAGATTTTTAAGGTAACTATATCATAGTTAAACACACAGCATAAATGATCTATGAGATCCTGCTAAAACCACTTTAATAAATAGAGCAATTTGTGTTTGGTATAATTATAGTTGCATGTAAATAAAAGTTGTGTCAATCCCCGATGTTTTCTCATGGTAGTTTCATAGTTTGAGGTCTTAGATTTAAGTCTTTTATCCATTTGATTTGATTTTTATATAAGGCAAGAGACAAGGGTCAAGTTTTATTATTCTACATATGGATATCCAGTTTTCCCAGCACCATTTATTGAATAGATTGTCTTTTCCCCAATATATGTTCTTGGCACCTTTGTTGAAAATGAGTTCACTGTAGGTGTGTGGATTTGTTTCTGTGTTCTTTAGTCTATTCCCCTGGTCTATGAGTCTATTTTTATGCCAGTACCATGCTGTTTTAGTCACTATAGCTCTGTAGTATAATTTGAAGTCAGCTAATGTAATTCCTCCTGTTTTTGGTTCTTTTTGTTTAGGATAGCTGTGGCTATTCTGGATCTTTTGTGGTTCCATATAAATTTCAGAATTGTTTGCTGTATTTCTATGAAGCATGTCACTGGTATTTTTACAGGGATGCATTGAGTCTGTAGATTGCTTTGGGTAGTATGGACATTTTAACAATATTAATTCTTCCAATCCATGAACATGGAATATCTTGCCATTTTTTGGTGTCCTCTTCAATTTCTTTCATCAATGTTTTATAGTTTTCATTGTAGAGCTCTTTCATTTCTTTGGTTAAGTTAATCTTAGGTATTTAATTTTATCTGTGGCTATTGTAAATTGGATTACCTTTTAAATTTTCAGATTGTTCACTGTGCACATAGAGAAATGCTACTGATTTTTGTATGTTAATTTTGTATCCTTCAACTTTACTGAATTTATGATTTCTAATAGTCTTTTTGTGGAGTCTTCAGATTTTTCCAAATATAAGATCATCTCATCTGCAAACAAGCATAATTTGACTTCTTCCTTTTCAATTTGTATGCCCTTTGTTTCTTTCTCTTGTCTCATTGCTATAGCAAGGACTTCCAGTACTATGTTGAATAACAGTGGTGAAAGTGGGCATCCTTTTCGTGTTCCAGATCTAAAAGGAAAGGATTTCAGTTTTCCCCCATTCGGTGCAATACTAGCTGTGGTCTGTCATATATGGCTTTCATTATGTGGAGGCATGTTTCATCTATACCTAATTTTTTGAGGGTTTTTATCGTGAAGGGGTGTTAACTTTTATCAAATGCTTTTTTAGCATCAATTGAAATAAGCATTTGGTTTCTGCCCTTCATTCAGTTGATGTGATGTATCACACTGATTGATTTGTGTATCACCTCCTTGCATCCTTGGGATAAATCTCATTTGGTCATTATGAATAATCTTTCTTGTGTATTACTGAATTCGGTTTGCTAGTATTTTGTTGAGGATTTTTGCATCAATATTCACCAGGGATATTGAACTGTAGTTTTCTTTTTTGGGATGTATCTTTTTCTAGTTTTTGTATCAGGGTAATATTGACCTCATAGGATTAAGAACAGTTCTTCTTTAAGTGTTTGGTAGATATTCTGCAGTGAAGCCATCAGGTCCCAGCCTTTTCTTTACTGGAACTCTTTATGATGGCTTTTACTTGTTATTGGTCTGTTTGGTTCAATGTTGGCAGGTAGTATGTATCTAGGAATTTATCCATTTTTTCTAGATTTTCCAATTTATTGCCAGATAGTTGCTCACAGGGGCCACTAATGATCCTTTCAATTTCTCCTTTTCATTTTTGTTTTGTTGTAATGTCTCCTTTTCATTTTTGTTTTCATTAATTTTGTTTCTTTTCATAAATTTTGTTTATTTGGATCTTCTCTCTCTTTTTCTTAGTCTGGCTAAAGTTTTGTCAATTTTATCTTTTCAAAAAATCAACTTTTTGTTTCATTGATCTTTTGTTTTCTTCTTCATTTCAAATTCATTTATTTTTGCCCTGATCTTCATTATTTCTTTTCTACTAATTTAGTGTTTGGTTTGCTCTCACTTTTCTGGTTCTTTAAGTTGAAGTATTAGGTTATTTATTTGAAGTTTTTCTTCTCTTTTTTGTTGTAGGCACTTATATCTATATATAAATTTCCCTCTTAGTACTGGTTTTGCTGCATCCCATATGTTTTGCTACATTATGCTTCCATTATCATTTGTTCCAAGAAATTTTTCAATTTTCTTCTTAATTTCTTCATTGAAGAAAGGGGCATAGTGTTTAACTTCTATGTGTTTGTATAGTTTCCAAAATTCCTTTTGTTATTGATTCTCAGTTCCATTGTGTTCAGAGAAGACATTTGATACTATTTCAATTTGTTTGAATGTTTCATAACTTGTTTTGTGACCTAACGTATGGTTTGTCCTCGAGAATGTTCCATGCTGAGGAGAAAAATGTGTATTCTACAGCCACTGGATGAAATGTCCTGTAAATATCTACTGGGTCCAGTGCAGACTAAGTTCAATGTATCTTTGTTGATTTTCTGTCTGGAAGACCTGTCCAATGCTGAAAGTGGGTGTTGAAGACTCCAGCTATTATTGTATTAGGATGCATTTCTCTTTAGCTCTAATAATATTTGCTTTGTATATCTGGGTGCTGCAGTGTTGGGTACATATATATCTACAATCATTATATCCTCTTGCTGAATTGACCCCTTTATCATTATATAATGGCTTTGTCTCTTCTTACAGTTTTTGTCTTGAAATCTATTTTATCTTATATAACTACTCCTACTCTTTTTTTGAATTTTCAGTCTATAGGTATCTTTATAGGTGAAGTATGATTCTAGTAGGCAAAAGGTCATAGTCTTGGGATTTTTAAAAATCCAATTAGCTACTTTATGACTTTTGATTGAAGAGTTTAGTCCATCTACACTTAATGTTATTACTGATAAGTAGGGACTTACTCCTGCCAATTTGTTATTTGTTTTCTGGTTGTTTTGTGGTCTTCTTTTCCTTCTTCCTGTCTTCCTCTTAGTGACAGTGATTTTCTCTTGTGGTATGCTTTAATTTCTTTCTTTTTATTTTTTGCGTATCTGTTGTATGTTTTTCAACTTGAGGTTACCATGAGGCTTGCAAACACTGCCTTATAACCCATTATTTTAAGTGGCTGACTGCTTAACACTAACAAAAACTGATAAAAAATACTCTACACTTGAACTTCATCCCCTGCTTTTAACTTTTTGTTGTTTCTCTTTATGTGTTATTGTACTGTCTATGTTTGGAAAAGTTGCTGTAGGTATTATTTTTGACTGATTCATCATTTAGCCTTTCTACTTAAGTGAAGAGTGGTTTACACATCACATTTACAGGGTTAAACTATTCTGTTTTTCTGCATGCTTACTGTTACCAGTGAGTTTTGTGCCTCAGATTATTTCTTTTTGTTCATTATCATCTTTTTCTTTCCGATAGAAGAACTCCTGATAGCATTTCTAGTAAGATAGGTCTGGTTTTGATGAAATCCCCCAGCTCTTGTTTTATTGGGAAAGTCTTTATGTCTCCCTCATATTTGAATGATATTTTTGCCAGATATACTATTCTAGGATAAAAGTTTTTTTTTTCTTCAGCCCTTTAAATATGTCATGCAACTCTCTCCTGGCCTATAAGATTTCCACTGAAAATTCTGCCACTGGATGTATCAGAGCTACATTGCATGTTGTTTGTTCCTTTTCTCTTGTTGCTTTTAGGACCCTTTCTGTATCCTTGACATCTAGGAGTTTGATTGTTAAATGCCTTAAGCTAATTTTCTTTGGGTTAAATCTGGTTGTATTCTATTATCTTCTTGTATTTGAATGTTGATATCTTTCTCTAGGTATGGGAAGTTCTCTGATATAATCTCTTCGAATAAACTTTCTACCCCTATCTGTTTCCCTACTCCCTCTGTAAGGCCAATAATTCTTTATTTTATTTTATTTTATTATTTTTTGAGATGTAGTCTCGCTCTGTCCTCCAGGCTGGAGTGCAGTGGTGCAATCTCTGCTCACTGCAAGCTCTGCCTCCCGAGTTCACGCCATTCTCCTGCCTCAGCCTCCTGAGTAGCTGGGACTACAGGTGCCCGCCACCACGCCGGCTAATTTTTTTGTATTTTTAGAGAGACAGGGTTTCATTGTGTTAGCCAGGATGGTCTTGATTTCCTGACCTCGTGATCCGCCTGCCTCAGCCTCCCAAAGTGCTGGGATTACAGGCATGAGCCACTGTGCCCGAAGGCCAATAATTCTTAGATTTGCTCTTCTGAGGCTATTTCTAGGTCTCGTAGGTATGCTTTATTATTTTCTACTACTATTTATTTTGTCTCCTCTGACAGTATATTTTCAAATAGCATGTCTTTAAGCTCACTAATTCTTTCTTTTGGTATGGGGCCTCATGACTCTGCCTGGTGCCCTATCCTATTGTGGCTGAGCTGGTATCCAAGATGTAAGACAAAGTCCTCTTTACTGTTTCCTCTTCTCTTCTTAAGCACAAGGAAGAAGTCACTGTCATTGCTGTGAGCTGCATTGCCTGGGGTTGGGGGTGGCATGGCACAAGCACTCCTTTAGCCACGCTAGCTGGTGTCTCCCTAGGTAATGTGCTACCCTAGTTCATGGCTCTAAGCTCAGACTGGCACTAGGAGTTGCCTAGGAATTGCAGTCCTTGCAGCCTGACTGCCTTTCAAGTTTACATAGGATTCTAGGGCACTTTGGCCTGTGGTGGCAAGGCTTGCGGCGAAACTCAAGTTTTGATCGGGGGATGGAAAATTCCCTCTGACTAGGGTTAATCCAGCTGTTCCCTCTGTGCGCAGGCTCTGGCTGAGCCCAGCACAGCTTTATTCTCTGCCGTGACAGAGCAGCACTGAATTTAATATAATGTCCCACAGCCACTGCACTCTCCCTCACCAAAGTGCACAGATTCTTTCTCCATGCAGCTGCCAAAGGACAGGGAGGAATAGCATAAGTGATTCAAGATCGTCTCTCCTGGCCTCCTCAAGTCCCCTTTTGGTGATATGAAATTAAAACTAAGTATTTTGATTGTTCAGGTAATTTTTGGTTCTCGTTATGGTGCTTTTCTATGTGCAGATATTTGTTAAAGTTTGGTGTTTCAAGTGGGGTGGGGTGGGATTAACAGTGTAGGCTTCTATTCCACCATTTTTCTCCACCCTGCCTTAAAAGACTAACTGGATTAAAACTGGTTTAGTAACTAGTTCACTTAAATTTTTAGGACCACATCTCTAAAAAGGAATACTTTTACTTCTATAGTGGGTTATGGGGTTATGAAACTTGTTTTATCCATTATTTTATCTAATTTTACCCTATGAATTAGGTGTTATTACATTTTAGGAATCAGGGGCTTGGAGAGATTAAATACACCTCTGATGTTCATCTCGACCCCCTCCAATTGGATTCTCATGGTTCTATCACATACAAGATTTTATCAATTTAAACATGTTTTACCCATTCCATTTTGCTTAATTTTTACATAACAGACTCAAATTATAATATTTAATACAGAAAAATTATTTCAATGTTTTATGAAATATTAAAATTGTCTTCTGTTTCTATTCATGCAATTATTTTCATTTGTTTTTGAGTACTCTTCGTGTTCAAAATTTGGCTTTACCTTGTGGCTCATTTATCCACAATATGTTTTCAGTAAAATATACTGCAGAACAATTAAAACTGCTATCAAGTAATTTATTTTCTGATTCATAAATGATATAAGCCTAAAAAATTACTCCTTCTTTAATATCTCTGAAATACCAAAACATTACGAATAACTGCAATACAAGCATGCATACATTTTATCTCATTAATTTGGTATGTTTTTATAGTCTAAAAATCTGAATGAAGCTCCCTTCAAGTTGGTGAATAGCATAGTTTTATTTTCTTTAGGAAACAATCCACTCTTCGAACTGCATGATTATGTCTCTTCCATGAAGACTTTGCCGGCTCCTCACCACCCTGTATACCCTCTTTCCCAGCCTCCCAGCATCTATTCCTGCTACTATGCATCCCCAATACATCCTGGATCCATCCTTTTCTTTCCATATCCAATGCTACCATTCTGACCTAAGGTTCATTAAACTCACCTGCATTTATGCACAGGCTTCCTAACTGGGTCTCCCCAACTCCCACCCCACTCTCCAGCCATTCTTCACTCAGACCAGAGCTATCATTTTGATAGCTTCAACACCTCCCATTGTGCTCAACACAGAATTAATTGCTATTAAATGGCGTCAAGACTCATCCAGCAGCATCTCCTACTACTTTGACCTCTTCTTCCTTTCTCCTCCTCTTCTTTCTGCTCCAGCCAAGTGGACTTTGAGTTTCTCCCTCGCACCAAGCTCATTCTTGACTCAGCACCTTTGCCCATGCTGTTCCTTCTGTCTAGAAAACTCTTCCTTCAGATTTTATTTTGGACTGGTCTTTTCCTTATCATTTAGGGCTCAACTCTAATATCACAGTCTCAGAAAGGCCTTTTTGGAACAACCCCATTCCATCACTCTATCAACTCTGTTTTATTTTCTCATCACCTTTATCACTTTCTGCAATTATCTGGCTTATTGACTTGTTTATTGGTTCATTATTGGTCTCTCCCTCTTAATAAAATGAAGTCTCCACAAAAGCAGAAACTTGTTTGCCTGGTTCACCATTTTATCTTTCCCTAGCACCTAGGGTAGTTAGGGCCTTATAACTTTCGTGGGCCTGCAGTACTTCTGTCTTCCTGGGCTCCTTGCTCCATAAGGAAATTTTTAAAATTATATTTCATGACTCAATTGGTATAAAGACAAATATACTAACATCACATATTATAATTTTTATGTGACCTGAAGTTTAATTTTTTTCTTCTGATTAAAAAAAAAAAGAAAACATTTTTGTGGGCCCTTCACACTGGACCTCCTGTGTCTAACAGAGAAGTCATCTTGAAAACACAGCCTGGGGCATGACAGGTGCTTAGTTATTGAGCAGATTGAATAGATAATGGACACTGGCTCACTTTCTACTCTGCTGGCTAATAATCACTTGGAGTCCTATATTTGTAAACCGAGAAGTAAAGTCAGATCACTTTCCTTTTGTTTTCTCAACTCCTTCCCTGAAGTTCAGTGACAGTTATGGCCTGTGCTATATTACAGTCTTTTATTACACACATCTACTATCTTTTATTGCTTTTGTGCTTGAAGTATTAGTCTTATTTCTGTAACTAGATTATAGATTTCTGCAGTGCTGAAATTTTATTGTATTCTTCCCTTAAGTGTCCACAGGGCGCATGTTTGTTATTTGTCTGATTGCAGTTTTAAATTATCATATGCATAAACATATAGAAAAAGATAAATTTTGGTCAATAAATAGATAATGGTTCAAGAGAGAAATATCAATGGCTTGAAAGGAGGTAGTGGGTATTGTGAAGCAATGCTTCCCAATCTTTTTCATGTCATGGCATGATGGCAAATAGCCCCTTGCACAGCAGATGGGGCTAAATGAATAAGGCTACTTGAAGCCGGAGGTAACTGTTTGAGAGCTCTAAATGACTCAGGCCCTACAGCACCATGAAGGAGATGACTATCTCAACATAACTTGATCACATTTGTGGTATAAGTGCTTGGAAGACCTTCTCTGAGGCTTGCTATAGCTGCTGATGTGGAATTATTGTACAACCTCCCAGTGAGGTGCTAGACATGTCTGCTATTGGCTGGTGAGAGCCAGTTGTTAAAGTTTTAGAAATTTTACCAAAGAGTTGTTAAATATAACCATTATTAAAAATTATATTTAAAATAGAGATAAATTTTCAACAGACCACATTTTACTCTTGTGTATTTCTTACATCTTAGTGTTAATTATGCTTTTGTGATTATTTATGTCTATTGTATTTGCATGGTGGAAACACAATATAGTGGTCGTACCACTACTACTCAGCTCTTCCTGACTCCGTGACAGGAATGTCACATTGGTAGCTTGAAGTTGGCCATGATGGGAGTTTTCACCCAAAGGAATTGGCAAATGCTACAAAGCAGGGCTTTTTCCCTCCTACAGAGCTGGTTGCTAAATGTCTATAACCTCACTGCTGCCCCTATCCACGCCATTCTCAGCAGCTCCTAGACACCACTTCTTCCTTGCCTTGCCCTTTCTAATCCCCAGACAAACACGGGAGCAGCAACAGAGTCACCTTTAGCTTTATAGAAAGAGGCTGGAAAGGACTAGGAGTCAGAAGATGGGGTTCTAGTCTGGATTCTTTCAGACTTTGGGCTAGTCAAATTGCTTCTCTAAAAAATCGGTGATACAGTTTGGATATTTGTCCCTACCCAAATCTCATGTTGAACTGTAATTGCCAATGCTGGAGGTGGGGCCTAGTAGGAGGTGTTTGGATCCTGGGGGCAGATTCCTCATGGCCTGGTGCTGTCTTCGTGATAGTGAGTTCTCACGAGATCTGGTCATTTAGAAGTGTGACAACACCCACCCCCTACGTCTCTCTCTCTCTCTTGCTCTGCTTTTACCATGTGATGTGCCTGCTCCCCCTTCACCATAATTGTAGGCTTCCTGAGACTCCCTACAAGCTGAGCAGATGTTGGCACCACCCTTCCTATGAAGCCTGCAAAACCATGAGCCAGTGAGTCAATCAGTCAATCAAATCTCTTTTCTTTATAAATTACCCAGTCTTCTCATTCTCAGGGTGTTTTTTTTTTTTTTTTTGAGATGGAGTCTCGCTCTGTCACCCCGGCTGGAGTGCAGTGGTATGATCTTGGCTCACTGCAAGCTCCGCCTCCTGGGTTCACGCCATTCTCCTGCCTCAGCCTCCGGGAAGCTGGGAATACAGGTGCCCACCACCACGCCTGGCTAATATGTTGTATTTTTAGTAGAGATGGGGTTTCACCATGTTAGCCAGGATGGTCTCGATCTCCTGACCTCATGATCCACCTGCCTTGGCCTCCCAAAGTGCTGGGATTACAGGCGTGAGCCACCGTACCTGGCCAGTCTCAGGTATTTCTTTACAGGAATCGAAGAACAGCCTAATACAATCAGTTTTCTCATTCAAAAAGAGATATAACTGCATAACATTGAAAGTCCCTTTCCAACCTAAATTTCTATCCCATTTTCTTCTAGTATTCTAGGGTGTCATCACTCACTCTCAGTGTTTGATTTCCAGTACTGTTTACCACCCCTCACAACCCTCTGTTTTCTAGATAGTTTACAGGCCTCCGACAATGTTACAGTGTTGCCTGGGACTGTAGGGAGACCCCCTGAAACTATTGCTATGGAATAAAAGACGAAATGCTCCTGATTATTGTAAATACAAAATTGCATGCAGGATTGTGTAAAGACAATACCAGGTTGGACTGCCAGAATGAGCCAAGAGTGCGTGATGTGCTTTCCCCTGCAGAGAGCCTATGAATGGACGTGCAGTCAGGGAGGTTTCACATCACCAAGATTCCTATCCCAGAAAAGCAGATGTTCATAGCTCTGGGAATCGGACGCGACCCTTGTGGAAAGCCTATAAACGGATGCATGGGGGGCGCCTGTCCATATGGATAAGATAGGGCTATAAACGCCCTCATCTTGCCACGGCTCTTCTAGGCCTCTTTAGGGTTAAGGCATACTCCCTTCTGAGAATTTCTGGTCTAACCAGTTGTCTAGCTTCACGTCCTGTTTCTATGGATTTTTTTGTAACCAGCTTCTGTTGCAATTGTTACTGCTGATTAATATATTGCTAATCATAGGTTATGGATAGACTGTGTTTCTGTTTTAAGGCTCTGTTAGAAATTACTGATGCACACACTATATTGTAAATTCTTATCCCTGTATACTGTACTTCTGCATACAGATGTTATGTTAAAGAATTACTTCATCCCCATGTGACCATCTCACCTCATAATCAAATGACGCTAAATCCCTCACTAACCTATCCCGGCCCTCACTAAACTTAATAATAAATGCTGGTACATCCAGTGCATTGTTGGCACCACAGGACCAGCAGGCAGTGACCCCTCTGGACCTGGCTTTCACTATCTTGTGTGTGTCTATTATTTCTCAACCTGCCGATCCACCTGGGAACAAAGAGAGAGCCCTGTTGCATTGCGGGCTGCTGGCCAGATCCCGCAATATGGGGCCAGAAAACTGTAGCTTTGCTGGCAACATTTCATCACAGTAAAAATTTGATGTCAGCGTGCATATTAGTTAAGCACGTAGGCTTTTACATATGAGACATTTGGACTGAAATTTTCACTCTGTCCCTCCCTATTTATATGACATCAAGCAATTCCCCTCTGTAAGTCTGTTTCCTCATTTGCATAACAGGTAATAAATGGTACTTATCTAATAGGGCTGTTGTAGAGATTATAATGTATGTATAACATGCAGTATGTATTAGTGCTTGATATATGTGGTAATTATTATACCTATTTTTAAAAAATTGTTTAAAGGAAAACATAGTGCCACATGTAGCACCTCATTTGGATGTGTCTGGAGTCTTGAAAGCTTGATGAACCTACATTCTTCTACAAATCAGCCTTTAGACCTTTTCTGGAGGTTGTAGCAGAAGAGCGTACACACTCTTGTACCCTTGATTGATGAACAGTCTTCCTCTCTCAGAAAGATCAGCCTTGTTAGCAGAGTGTACAGCTTTGGGAGGGATGCACATGGAGTGATGAGGGAGAAAGAGGACACTCAACTATCCAGCCAGATGAGCAGAATCAACCCTGGCGATCAATGAGGTAACATGTCACAGCCAGATCACCCTCACATTTGTTACTAATTTTGTTGTTGTTGCTTTTAGCGATTATTCTTTAGGACAGCGGTTTTTAATGGGGGCAATTTATCCCCTGTGGGATATGTGACAGTGTCTGGAGGCATTTTTGGTTTTCAACTGGGGGATGGGATGCTAACTGTTATCTAGTGGGTAGAGGCCAGAGAAGATGCTAAACCTTCAACAATACACATGATAATCCCCTTCCCCCAACAACAAAGAGTTATTTGGCCCCAAATGCGAATAGAGTGAAGGTTGAGAAACCCTAATCTAGAGTAATGTTGTCCAAAAGAACATTCTGTGATGGTGCAAGTGTACTACATCTATGCTGTGCAACATGGTAGCCACTAGCCATATGTGGCTATTGAGCACTTGAAATGTGGCTAATGCAACTAAATAACTGAGTTTTACACTTTATTTAAATTATTTTAAATTTAAATAGTCACAATACAGCAGCTAGTAGCATTGGGCAGCACAGCTCTAAGGGGTCTTCTCTAGGACAGGATGAGAAATAGCTCTTATGACCAAAGATTCCATTCAGAGTGCCCAACTCCTAAGAATTCAATTAGTTCTTAGAAATAAGTTTCAAAAAAGTACTAGAAATATAATTAAGGCCAGGCGTGGTGGCTCACGCCTGTAATCTCAGCACTTTGGGAGGCCGAGGTGGGCGGATCACGAGGTCAGGAGTTCGAGACCAGCCTGGCCAATATGGTGAAACCCCATCTCTACTAAAAATACAAAAATTAGCTGGGTGTGGTGGCATGCACCTATACTCCCAGCTACTCGAGAGGCTGAGGTGGAAGAATCGCTTAAACCCAGGAGGTGGGGCTGCAGTGAGCCGAGATCGTGCCACTGCACTCTAGCCTGGGTGACAGAGTGAGACTCCGTCTCAAAGAAAAAAAGAAAGAAAGAAAGAAAGAAATATAATTAAACTTAAAAAATGCACAGATAAGGAAAAAATCAGAAATAAAAGCAAAAATATTTCACAGTATCTGTCTTTGGTTAGTAGGACTACTAATTTAGATAGATTTTCTCCTATCTAATTACATGTATTTCGATTTTTAAAATGACATGAACATGTGTCAATTTCACAAGAAAACAAATTAAAATTCTAAAAATATAATTCACTAAAAGAGAAATAGTAAGACCTACATGAGATCACCTGCTAATACAATTTGGTTTTGTTGAAAGAGAAATGCCTATTAGCGCCTTTATGAATAAGAAGAGAACAAAAAACTGGGTGCCCTGGCTCATGCCCATAATCCCAGCACTTTGGGGGACCAAGACGGGTGGATCCCTTGAGCTCAGGAGTTCCAGACCAGCCTGAGCGACATGGAGAAACCCTGTCTCTCCCAAAATACAAAAACTAGCCAGGTGTGATAGTGCACGCTTGTGATCCCTGCTACTTGGGACACTGAGGTGGGAGGATTGCTTGAGTCCCGGGTGGTTGAGGCTGCAGTGAGCTGTGATCACACCACCACATTCCAGCCTGCAGAACAGAGTAAGACCCTGTCTTTGAAAAAAGAAAAGAAAAGAAGATAACTAAAAAGTGGTCTATCTCATAACATTCTGAAGGTCTGTGAACATTGGTAGTCAACGCATAATTTTAGTAAATGGAGTAGGATCTATGAAATCAGAGGAATCCTCTAGGCAAGGTGAGCAAGGGGAAGAAGGCACCTTTAATTCATCCTTTATATTTACCGACATGCAGTAATTTGGCTGCGTTCCTCTGCTGGTGTATGTCATACCTGTCCCCAATCCACTACCTCTCAAGCCAAAACTATTCTATCGGTATTAGGTCCTTGGAATCCAGTTCAGTAAATAACCTGGTAAACTAATTTAAGCCTAGGAGTCAAAGGTTAATAGGAAATCAATGTATTATTTCTTTTAGATAATATATATTCATGTCCATGAGACACTTCCATCCTATAATATGCATAGGTCATTTCCATGTCCCATATCTTCTCTGTGAACTGGTGAGAAGCCCATTTAATTCTACTTAAACCATATTGTGTTTTCTTTTGTGATTCCAAAATGTCTAGAAGTTTAAAAATCTTGTCATTGTGCCGATGAAAGCAAGGAGTATCTGCTTACAGAAAGATGGGGTAGTGTGGAACAGTTGGGAAGTGGCACACCCACAGTGGGAAGGGGCCTAGCTCCTAGCAGTAGGTCATCAGGTCAGCTAGTATAATATTTACCTCTTCAGTTGTTTATTATTGTCCCTATTCAATAGGTAGGAAAGTCAAGATTCATTGAAATTAGATAACTTGCTCAAGGTCGTAAGATGTTGAGCCAATTACTATTGCAGTATAACAATCCACCTCAAAACTTAGTGGCATAAAACAGCCATGTTATTAGATTTTCAGATTGGGTGGCATTACATTTGTAAAGGGCTCTTCTGGGCCATTCTCTCACGGGGTCTCTCATGATGCTATGGTCAGACGTTGGCTATAGTGGAACACCTAAGGTTTGGAGTTTGGGGTCCCTCATAGCATGGCAGCCTCAGGACAGTTCAATTGCTTATATAGTGGCTCAGGTTTTTAGCACAAGTATTCTCTCAATGAATGTGAGATCACATCACCTTTTCAGAGCTAGCTTGTGAAATCACACAGTGTCACTTTTGCCACATTCTCCTGGTTACAATAAAGTCACAAATTTACCTATTTTCAAGTGGAGGATAATTAGACTTCACCTCTTGATATGGAAGTATCAAGGAACTAGAACACGGGAGATGGGAGAGATTGTTGAGGTTGTCTTTGGAAAATACAATCTGACATGGATGATTAAGTGCCTACTCAGAATTTAAAACCTGGGCTGCTTCATATCAAACTCTTTGTTCTGCTGCACTAAACCCCATTCCTAAGATTTCATGTAAGTGATAATGTGGTAACTGTGGTAATAATGTGGTAATGTGGTAAGGAAGTAGGCTTCTCAGAAAAAGGTAAACTATTCACAATGGATTAGTTATTAGCATGAAGTTTCAATTCCTTGTGTTTGTTTCATTTATAGATTTCTGTGTGTCTTCACCTATCTTACTCAAAGCTATTCTGTGCTGGGGTATCATTTTCTTGTGGTATATGCTGGTGTATTGATGATTCATTGTTTGCAGAAAATTCTTTGTTTTTCCAAAGCTCTTATTCAAGGTTCACCTTCTGTATTGCAAAGAAGGCATATCTTTCTCTGGAAAACATTTTGAAAAATGCCTGCTACTAGTACTTATTACTGAAGAATTGCATCCTTTTCTATTTGCTCTGCCATCTATCTTGGTTCCCTATGTCTGCATCTATGGCTTAGTTTGACTTTTTTGTTCTTCCTCTGCAAAGGGAAGGCTTGCAAAGCACATGCCCTTTTTGGGTAAAGTGACTTCCTGATGGGAAGCTAAGCTGAACACAAAACTCCATTCAGCAGAAACTCAGATGTCATGTCACATCCTGCAAACACCACAGACACTTCTACCCCTATCATGCATTTCAGCAAAACTACAGTAACATCTTGCCCTAAAATATGTGAAACACAGAAGGCTGGTCCCTAGTCTTAGAATGCTTGAGATAACAAATGAAGTACTAGAAGAGAAACTTGGATACAAGAGCATGGCACAAGCAGTGAGTTACTGGAATATAGACACTCTGAGGTAAGGGGAGGAATTGCAATTCAGAGACATGGGAGCCCAGTAGTCACCCTGGTCTCGTCTGCAGTGTGTAGAACCTAATTAGAGCAGGGAAAAAGAAGAGAGATGACTTAAGATGGTTAAGTAATTAGAAAGCTCTTAATTCTACTTCTATTTGCCTGAATAAGTAAATTTCTGTTGGCCACATTTATCATCTATAAAACCTAGCTAATAATAATCACTTTTTATATTGCTGGCAATAACTGGAGCATAGTCAACATTTCTTTCTTTCCCCACCTCAATTTTTTCTCTGCTTCCTCTCAGGATAAATCTAAGCAATGGGTTGCAACTGAGGCTGTGGTGGGAAGCTTAACCAGCTCTGTCGTGAGAAACTGAGAAGGACAGCTGCAGGGGCTGACATTCGGCATTCACAAGAGGAGAGATGAGAAAACACCACCGGTAACAGCTGGTGAGAGTGGAAATTGAATAGTTACATGTATAAAAATTTAACAGATATAGTGCCCAAATTATGTGAAGATGTGCAAGAATGATCATCGTGGCACTGATTTTAATGCAGTAGTTACAAACTGGAAACATTCTACACGTGTCTTGATAAGTATCTGGTTAGATAAATTATAGCATAGCCATGTGATGGAGTTGTAAGTATCCTTTAAAAAGAATAAGGTAGAATTGTACATGCTAATGGAAATAGCTCCAAGATATGTTGTTAAATGAAAAAGCAAGTTGCCAACATAATATTGTGTAATTGTGTTTGTGTGTATTTCCGTGTGTGTGTGTGCATGTGTGTATTGTGGTATGTGTTTATGTAAGAATATAGTTGGCCCTCCATATCCATGGGTTCTGCATCTGCAGATTCAACCAACTTGGGATAGAAAATATTCCAGGAAAAAAAAAGGTTTAAAACGGCCGGGTGCAGTGGCTCACGCCTGTAATCCCTGCCAAGGCGGGTGGATCACGAGGTCAGGACATTGAGACCATTCCTGGTTAACACGGTGAAATCCCTTCTCTTCTAAAAATACAAAAAATTAGCCAGGTGTGGTGGCGGGAGCCTGTGGTCCCAGCTACTCAGGAGGCTGAGGCAGGAGAATGGCGTGAACCCGGTAGGCGGAGCTTGCAGTGAGCCGAAATCGCGCCACTGCATTCCAGCCTGGGCGACAGAGCGAGACTCAGTCTCAAAAAAACAAAACAAAAACAAACAAAGACCAATAAAAAATAATACAAATAAAAATACAGTATAACAACTATCTCCATGGTATTTCCATTGTATTCAGTATTATAAGTAATCTAGAGCTGATTTAAAGTATATGGAGGATGTGTGTAGGTTATATGCAAATACTATGCTATTTTATATAAGGTATTTGAGCATCCCCAGATTTTGGTATCCTGGGGCATCCTGGACCAATCCCCCCTGGATATCAAGGGATAACTGCATATATAATGGTATATGTATAAAAATTTCCATAAGGATACACAAAAACTGATAATGGCAGGTGATTTTATTAAATGCAGTGGGAACGGGAGATGTGCAGAGAGGAAGACTTTTTTACTTTGATTTCCTCACTTTTTTATTATTTGATTTTTAAATAGTTATAAGCATGTACTACTTTTATAATGAAAATAAAAAAATACAACGATCCTTTTTTTTTTTTTTTTTTTTTGAGACAGAGTCTCACATCTCACTCTGTCGCCCAGGATGGAGTGCAGTGGCGCAATCTCGGCTCACTGCAAGCTCCGCCTCCCAGGTTCACGCCATTCTCCTGCCTCAGCCTCCTGAGTAGCTGGGACTACAGGTGCCCACCACCACGCCCGGCTAATTTATGTGTGTGGGTGTATTTTTAGTAGAGACGGGATTTCACCGTGTTAGCCAGGATGGTCTACGATCTCCTGACCTCGTGATCCACCCACCTCGGCCTCCCAAAGTGCTGGGATTCAGGCGTGAGCCACCGCGCCCGGCCAATACAATGATCTTTAAAAGTTACTCAACACAGAGAGACAAGTAAAAGATCCCAGGATAGCAAGAGCTAGCTAAGGAATTGAAATTTCACAGGGGAATTTTAAGCTCTGAGTTTACAGCAGAAAGTTTTGAGGACATGATTAACATTTATGCCAAACACAAGCAGGAAATAGGGCAGTGAAAATCATGTAAATGACCCGGAGGAGTCCACAGGTAGGATGTTTGTAGAAAATGTCAGATGTTTGTTCATACTCATTTCAGTGATTCAGCCCTGGTTGCCTGGGGAGTTTTGAAAATATACAAAGACCCACTCGCAGATATTCTGATTTAATTGGTCTGAGGAGGGACCAAGCATGAGTATGTTTTAAAAGACCACCAGGTAATTCTTATGTATCCAGGATAGAAAGCCACTCCATGTAACACTGCTTAAAACCCTCAGGATAATCGACAAGCAATTGTTGACCACCCACTACCTGCCAGGTATTGCGCTAAGTGTTAACCTTACGAATGTGAAGTAATTTTAAAAACTTCCTTCCAAGTGATAAGGATATTATAACTTTTCTGTAAATGCAATTTGTGGATGACAAATGAAAAAATAATTTTAAAAAGAAGAGTGATATGTAAAATAATATATACTGTTTTTAATATCAGATAAGTGGAAAAAAAACTATTAATATGTGTAGTGGTTCCTGTATCAACTTAAAAAGAAACTACCTTTTATGCTATAACAATTGTCCAAGAGCTTGCCTAGTACTTGAACCATTTTATTCAAAGTGAGGTCCATGGGCCAGGGACGTTATCATCATGCCTGACAGCCCGTTCAGAATGTAGAATCAGTAGCTCCAGTCAGACCTATTAAATCAGAATCAGCATCAAATAAGATCTCCAGGTGATTCAGAGGCACATCAAACCTTGAGAAGCACTGTGTTACTTCTAAGAAGAACTTAAAATCTTTTAGATCTCCTTGGTCATATCCTTCCTATCGTAAAATTGAATGACTTGCTTTCAGGAGAATCATAAACAGCTTACATCCCAACCATTTCTGTAACAAAAACAACATTAATAAATCACCTTGTTTGCAGTTACTGTGCTGGGCACTATAGCCAATTTCTAAATACAACCCTAAAGAAATATATATTATTGTTCCTCCCATTTACCAATGAGTCCACTGAGATTCATCAAGTCTCACAGCTTATAAATGACAAAACTAATTTTAAATTCAGATCTGATTAACAATGCAGTTGTTTTATTATACTTCATTGTGTTCAGTGCTTATGATAGTGATATTATGTTATTTATTACACTTTTCATTAAAAATGAAATTTGAGTAATCTTTAAAGTTACAGTCATTGCAGAACTATTTAATAACTACAATAAAAAGAGAAGTTGGATTATAATCCATGAGCTGACCAATCACATATATTTCATTTCTCTCTCTCTCTCCCTCTCTCTCATACATATACATATACACACACACACACACACACACACACACACAAAACACACACACAACACACACACATACACACACACAGTTTTAGCTTGTATAGTAATTAGATCTGTTGGTATGTTCAGAAATCTTGCAGTGAAAATTTTCAGACCCTGAAAGGCAGCCAAGAGGAACGTTTTGTTTCAATTGCAATTAACATTAATAAAAATAGTTTATATAAAAACAAGGTGGAACTTTTAATACAGAAAGTGTGCAAAGGTGTATAGACTAGCTTCGAAGTGGATCTTGTCTTTCCTAAATAAATGCCAAAGTAGAAAATCAGTCTGAGATGGAATAAAATCTTTTCATCATCTATCACAAGAAGATGACATTTAATCCATCTCCTTACTTTGAAGACTGATTAAACTTCAGATGGAATTTAGTTAATAAATCATATTAGCACAATGCATCCCTATGGCATATACCTCTTCCAATTACAGAGCTTCTCCTCAATGATCTATGTGAGTTTCTATGTTGGACTTTGGTCTTGAACTCAAGTAATTTTTGTTGGAAACAACTGTTGTTCTGGCCAGGTAAAATCAACCTTTTCTTATTTACTACTAAAGGAAGTAATAGAAGACTGTCCACCGACCACAGAAGTTATGTATTTTCAGCATGGTTGGACCTATCTGGATGTTATATATCTAGTCATGCTGAAAATATTAAAACAGAGAACTATACCATGCTGAATATAAATAATTTAATATTAGGTCTCCAAGACCATCTTAGATTATGCTTCTGTGGTTCATGGTGCCTGTTGAAGAGTTGACGGAATTTGGCATTTGTGTTCAGCCAGTCACCACATCTTTTTTAGTTCTGTGGGCCTGAGAGGGCAAATTAACTAAAAATTAAAGAATAAAAAAAGGTAAAAATAAATAGACCTATCTGACATATGTTGACCTAAGGAAAAAACTAGAGACAAAATTAATGTAAGTAAAGAGTTTATCTGGGCCAAATTTGAGGACTGCAACTGGGAGACATAGATTCAAATTGCTCTGAATATATGCTGTGATTAGTAGCAGTTACAAGTAGGTTTTTAAAGGAAAAAGAAGGGGTAGTTTCTAAATCTGTGTATCAATAGTTTGTGTTAAAATAACACAAGTTGTTGATTAGGTATACATTGGTCTTTGTATTATAAATTCCAATGAAGATAATGAGTGAGGGTTACATTGCACAATCTGTGGTAACATTTTAGATAATTTATCACCTAGTCTGGAAACTACAAGGAAGGAAAGAAAGAAGAGAATGCCTTTAAATAATTGCCCGTGGAGGATCACCTGGACCCTGGGAGGTTAAGGCTGCAGTGAGCCGTGATAGCGCCATTGCACTCCAGCCTGGATGACAGAGTGAGACCCTGTCTCAAAATAAATAATTTAATTTAATTTAACAAATAAAAAATAAATAATTGCCCCTGGGCCTAGGCAGTGGGGACTGAGCGTGACTGAAGTCTCATATTCATGTCTCCCTAGGCCTGATAAATTTTGTGTAAGTCACATTCTGCAGACTGCTCTGAGCTACTTTCTTTCTTACAAAAGAGGTTTAAAAAAAAGCAAAACATATGGCAATTCCCAGTGACTACTAAAGACAATACTCATCCTAAGTGAAAGGCATATGACAAAATCTCATCTAATATTAATACTCCCACACAAATGCAAATTTACAAAGAGTAAATCCAGATTTCAGCTACCTGAGAATTATCTGATTTTCCATTTGTAAAAAAAGAGGGTGAAATTGGCACGGGTATGTTGGGGAAATATAATTAAAAATAAAATGTTCTCCCAACCCAGAAAACCTCTCCTCAAAGGTAGTAGAGAAAGAAAACAGTTTTATTATTGAATAAGCATCAAACCAGAATGCAATGCCTGTCACAGGCAATCTGCTAGGAGATTGCAAACACAGAAAGGAATCTCATCCTTTATATAACCAAACAAATATGACCCATTACCTATGTGTTTTCAAAACAAACAATAACTAGTCTTCAAGCAAGAATACTTTAGTCACACATAGTTCATCCTAACTTTACCTGGCAATTGGGTTTAACATCTAAAGCTAATTGTCTTTACAGGAAAAATAAGCTTCTATGTCTTTATGACAGGAGGTAGTTTTGCACCTTGGAGCAAAGCACCCACCAAAGTTAGCTTCCTCCCCTCCCACACAAACTGGGAGATAGTGGTGTTAGCTCCTTTGATGTTTACATTTCAAAGAGAGGAGAAAATGTTTATAATTACAAAGTTTCTAAAGCATTTTTAAAATAGATGCCCTGAGAAAAAGAGAGGGAGGGAAGATACCTCTTCCCTTATTTTCAACCAGGGGAATCAAACCTCTTAGTTTTGTTTGTATTTGTCTTTTCAGGTAGAATAACCTACCCAGAGAGTCTATTTTTCCCATCTGCCCAAAGGAACAATAAGAACATCTGACTGGGGAGATGAGCTACCTCCATGAGCTAACAGTTTTGTTACTTGCATCAAACCATTTAAATATTCTGGGCCTCAATTTTCTTCTCCATAAAGTGAGGATATTAATAATGCTTACTTCACAAGGTTGTTACAGAGATGAAATAAAATATGAAAAACTAAATGAATTTTAAAGTGCTCCATAAACTGTGAAGCCCTGTACCAGTAAAGCTGTTGCTTGTTGTGATATGCTTTCAGAGAATTTAGAACAGCCCCCTGCCGAGGCCCTCCCATCATTTCTCGATGTGCAAAATTACCATTACCAGAGACTTATTCTTAATTTCCTGAAAATGCAAATGCTCTTGAGCAGCTAACATATTAGCATCATGACCAGCTTATTTTTTAAGAGATGGGGTCTCACTTTATCACTCAGGCTTGAGTGTGGTGGCACTATCATAGCTCACTGCAGCCTCGAACTCCTGGACATAAGCGATATACTGTGTCCAGATTAAAGAGTTTGTGCCTGTCTTCTATACACTCTAGAAATCAGGCTGTTCTGGAGAAGATTGAGCAGTTTAAAGAGATCTAGGGCTCGCTGGACTCTTTAGTTGGAGGGAGGAGAAAAAAAGAGGAGTTGTGCAAAAAATGTAAAAGATAGGACAAGGTCTCCTTCCCACTTCTTTTCAGAGCTAGCCCCGTGCCAAGGTCATGTAGGAAAGAAATTAAGGAAGTTCTTTACTTCCAATGATTCTGGCAACAGATTACTTCCTATTTTTAAGAGAAGACACAGACATACATTCTAAACATTCTTATTGTTCAAATTCTCTCTATCCAAATTACAAAATACTCTATTGTCATTGTTTCTAAGTTTTGAAATTTGTGTTCATTAAAGAGAGGCACAATTATAATATCATGTATGAAAGGAGAATCAAGAGATTATCCAATGCTCAAGAAGGATGTTGTTGCTGTTTTATTAGGCTCAAGAAGAAAGTATGACATTTTCAAAGACATGTGTGGCTTAATAAGTGTCTGTTTTCCAGAAATGCCAAGAAACATTGTGGATCACAGTTTGAGTTTCCTTCTAAAATCCCAACACACCTCATAAAAGTAAAACCCAAACCTGAAGCCAAACAGCTCAAGGTAGGAAGTAAATTTAGAACCTGGGGTTCTGGCATATAGCTCTGATCCAAAACACAGTAGGAGGCTTGCCAGAATGTGGAAAACTTGCTGTCATAAGGAAATAGAGGCAACTACTCAATGACATTGTAATCCAATTTCTGTAAGTTTTATTACATAGGGGGCTGTCAGCATCAGGCTCTGCAATTATGACTCATTGGGTTATTCTGGCTAACATGGAGCATACTATACATATACACAAGCACACGTATACTAATTCTCCTATGGAGACAAGAAGACTGTAAATGGTCCCATGGTAATCTATGAAAAGAAAGAGATGCATGTTTTTGAGCTTAAAAATAACAAGTAAATAATAAGTGACATTATAGACATCTAAGGGATCAGGCACTATTCCATGGCATATATTAATTCATTGGATTCTTATAGCATCCCTATGAGGTAGGCACTATTATAACCTCATTTTAAAGAGGAGGAAACTAAAGCTCACAGAGGTCAACTACTTTCCTAAAGCCACACAGCCAATAAGGAGACAGTTGGGATTCAAATCCAGGCAGTCTGACTCCAGAGTCCAGGATGCTTACCACCCTAATGTATTTATTTTCAGAGATCTTCTAAGCAGAACTTTCACTACTAATCTAGTATTTACTTCCCAATTCACTTCTTTATTTCTCTGGTTCAAGTAATTCAGAGCATACTTTTTTTTTTTATTCTTCAATGTTTAAAGAGTTCTATTTTCCAGCTCACATTCTGGGAATGTGAACACTGCCAGTCCACACAAGTAAAAATATACACACCATCAATAGGTTACTCTATCAGCACGGTGGAATACAAGACGAATTTGATTTTTTGTTATCTAACTAAAGTTACTGATTTATGGGTATCAAACTTATCCTTATGATAGGGTTTGTAACTTTGTCTAAAAGTGATTGCGATACTGGTAAAATATCACCACACTGATGTAAACAAAATAATTAGATTAACAAATTAGGTTCAAAACAATTATTTCTACCCTATCAAATTAACTCTGTCCTAAATGATACCTAAGAAAAAATCATAACTAAAATTATTGTTATTGCTGCATCATTAATGTTGTATTTCCTTAAAAAATTTTATATTAAGTAATATTTTTTTTTGTGAAAGATTTATTAGGAATAAAACAAGCATGTTTATTCTACCCTGACTCTCAATTCTATACTATATTCCTGGGCCAATAAAACACTGTTTTAACAGTTTAAAGGCCATATATATATATATATATATATATATATATATACACACACACACACACACACACACACACATATATATACACACATATATATACATATATATATATACACACATACACACACACATACACATATGAACTTCTGAATGGAGACTTGCAGATCTTCATTTTGTAAAATTCAACACTCATTCATGATTAAAGATAGTAACTGTCTTGGTCCCTTTGTTCTGCTTTGACAGAATAACTAAGACTGGATAATTTATAAAGAGCAGGAATTTATTTTTCACATTTCTGGAGGTGAGGAAATCTAAGATTGAGGTGCCAGCATCTTGCGAGGGCCTTCTTACTGCATCCTCACATAGTGGGAGGTGGGAGGGTAAGAGAATAAGCTAGCAGAATTGTGTGAAGCCTCTTTTATAAAGGCCTTAATCCCATTAATGAGGAAGGAGCCCTCATGGCCTAATTACTTCTTAAAAGGCCCCATTTCTTAATACTAGCACATTGGCAACACTTGAATTGTGGAGGAGACATATTTGAACCACAGCAATAAGTAAGCCAGGAATATAAAGGTTCATCCTCAACCAGCTAAAGGGTATCTATTCAAGTCAGGAGCTAAATAAGGATGCCTGCTATTTCTACACTCTTCGGTGTTGTACTGGAAGCCCAAGGCAATTGGATAAGACAAGAATAACTAATAAGAGAAATAATTATATGGACAGTAAAAGATACACATCATCACTTTCAAATGATATTATTTTCTTACTAGGCCATCCAAGACTATGAACCTTCCTATTTGTCAACACCGTGTGGTGGTGTTACTGTTTCTATTTTCTAGGAGAGTTCCTCAATTTTATCTCCTATCACAGTTTTAATTTCCAGGTGCTTTCTTTTTCTTCTCTGAATAGTCCCCTTTTTATCTCATGTTGCTCCACTTTCATAAATGCAATTGCTTCTTATCTCTTTGACAATATTGTTTTTAAAAGATGTTTTCTTATGCTCCTTGCCTATTTCTATTTCCTGTGGAATTCCCTCTCCCCTCCATTTTGTTTTGGCCTGCATTTTTCATAGTAAAGCCTTCCTCAAATGTCTGGTGATCGTTGGGTGGATTCATTCATATTTAAGGACATTGGATGGAGGCAAAGTTTGTTGACTTGCAGGCTGACCAGTTGGGAACCTGACCATTTTTCAGGAATACTCCCCAGGTAACTCTGAACATCTCTCTCATAGGCCCATGTCTTTCCTCTCATCTTCTGTTTAAGAGGTATTCATCTGACATCTAGAGAGCTGGATGCTAAGCAGGAAAAAGGAACTAAGGCATTCCTCATTCTATATACAGATTCTCACTCAATACCCTGTTATCTGCATGTACCCTCACCCTGTCCTTAGCTGTGCCAGATCCCCCTGAGACCATATCATGCCTCAGAATACTTCTCCAGAATAAAAGGGAACTCACCTCTCTGCACAGGGTTGGGGAGATTCTTTATATACTTTCTATTTTCCAAAATTCGCTTGATATCTCTCAATTGCTATTTTCTTCTTCCCATTATAATCAAATCTAGGTTTAAGGAGGCAGTGGTGATAAGTGCCTTTGTGAACCTGCCATGTTTACCAGAAGTCCATACTCAAATATTAGTTCAAGGAGCCAATTTCTAGCTCCTTAGAACTTTTCAGTATGGATGGATTATTAGTTTTAGAATGCCAGAAGCTCAAATCCACAATATTGCGAAGTGACCAAGAGAAAAAGATGCAGCACCAGAAAGTGTTAAATTCTGAGAAGCTGCAGCAGCCATTGCAAAAACTCTGGCAAGCTCTCAATTTGAATAGTAACAAGACTGTTCAAAAGCCCTGGGAAACGGGTCCAGAAAGAGAATTTCAAGATCTGGTGTTCTTGAATCCTTATCTTTCCCCTTGCACCTAAACAGCAAAGGGCCACATTTAAGAAACTTAAGTTAACTCTATTTCACTAAATTATAAAGCCTTGCCCTGGATTAGAAACCAAGCAGGTCATCTTACAGAGGAAAAGTAGTTCATGCCCTTTAAATCCATTATAATATCAGATGTGTTAGGTGACACCCAAGTCACTATGCTAAGTCTGTGTTTTAGACAACAGTAAGTATTTTAAAACTTTAAGGATTTTAAAATAGAGGCCCAGAGACTACCCTAATTCCAGGTCATTACAATTGGATAAGAGGGACTGCTTTAGTTATCAGAGAGCATGGAGGGGAAAGTATCTGAGGTTACCAGATGGTCCTAAACTGGCAAGCTGGACACAGAGGATGAAAGACATTCTCTGTGGTCACTTTTACCCTTCCTAAATGGTTTATTTGTATTGAAAACCTTTCACTTTCACAGTGGAATAAGTGCCTGGGCCCCAGGTGACTATCCGCAGATCTCTAGAGATAAAGGGAGAGGATTTAGATAATATATACTTTGCATGAAATCAATATTTGTTGGGGAGAGGACATCCATCTCAGCTGGGCCAGGTGCCTCGCTGGCAGCCGCTTAGGGAGGGCACTAAACACGGCAAGCACAGCGAAAATAAGACCTGGATTGAAATCTCCATCTGTGGGAGGAGGAGCCAAGATGGCCGAATAGGAACAGCTCGGGTCTACAGCTCCCAGCGTGAGCGACGCAGAAGACGGGTGATTTCTGCATTTCCATCTGAGGTACCGGGTTCATCTCACTAGGGAGTGCCAGACAGTGGGCGCAGGACAGTGTGTGTGCGCACCGTGCGCGAGCCGAAGCAGGGTGAGGCATTGCCTCACCTGGGAAGCGCAAGGGGTCAGGGAGTTCCCTTTCCGAGTCAAAGAAAGGGGTGACGGACGCACCTGGAAAATCGGGTCACTCCCACCCGAATATTGCGCTTTTCAGACCGGCTTAAGAAACGGCGCACCACGAGACTATATCCCACACCTGGCTCAGAGGGTCCTACGCCCACGGAATCGCGCTGATTGCTAGCACAGCAGTCTGAGATCAAACTGCAAGGCGGCAACGAGGCTGGGGGAGGGGCGCCCGCCATTGCCCAGGCTTGCTTAGGTAAACAAAGCAGCCCGGGAAGCTCGAACTGGGTGGAGCCCACCACAGCTCAAGGAGGCCTGCCTGCCTCTGTAGGCTCCACCTCTGGGGGCAGGGCACAGACAAACAAAAAGACAGCAGTAACCTCTGCAGACTTAACTGTCCCTGTCTGACAGCTTTGAAGAGAGCAGTGGTTCTCCCAGCACGCAGCTGGAGATCTGAGAACGGGCAGACTGCCTCCTCAAGTGGGTCCCTGACCCCTGACCCCCGAGCAGCCTAACTGGGAGGCACCCCCCAGCAGGGGCACACTGACACCTCACACAGCAGGGTATTCCAACAGACCTGCAGCTGAGGGTCCTGTCTGTTAGAAGGAAAACTAACAACCAGAAAGGACATCTACACCGAAAACCCATCTGTACATCACCATCATCAAAGACCAAAAGTAGATAAAACCACAAAGATGGGGAAAAAACAGAGCAGAAAAACTGGAAACTCTAAAACGCAGAGCGCCTCTCCTCCTCCAAAGGAACGCAGTTCCTCACCAGCAACAGAACAAAGCTGGATGGAGAATGATTTTGACGAGCTGAGAGAAGAAGGCTTCAGACGATCAAATTACTCTGAGCTACGGGAGGACATTCAAACCAAAGGCAAGGAAGTTGAAAACTTTGAAAAAAATTTAGAAGAATGTATAACTAGAATAACCAATACAGAGAAGTGCTTAAAGGAGCTGATGGAGCTGAAAACCAAGGCTCGAGAACTACGTGAAGAATGCAGAAGCCTCAGGAGCCGATGCGATCAACTGGAAGAAAGGGTATCAGCAATGGAAGATGAAATGAATGAAATGAAGCGAGAAGGGAAGTTTAGAGAAAAAAGAATAAAAAGAAATGAGCAAAGCCTCCAAGAAATATGGGACTATGTGAAAAGACCAAATCTACGTCTGATTGGTGTACCTGAAAGTGATGTGGAGAATGGAACCAAGTTGGAAAACACTCTGCAGGATATTATCCAGGAGAACTTCCCCAATCTACAAAGGCAGGCCAACGTTCAGATTCAGAAAATACAGAGAACGCCACAAAGATACTCCTCGAGAAGAGCAACTCCAAGACACATAATTGTCAGATTCACCAAAGTTGAAATGAAGGAAAAAATGTTAAGGGCAGCCAGAGAGAAAGGTCGGGTTACCCTCAAAGGAAAGCCCATCAGACTAACAGCGGATCTCTCGGCAGAAACCCTACAAGCCAGAAGAGAGTGGGGGCCAATATTCAACATTCTTAAAGAAAAGAATTTTCAACCCAGAATTTCATATCCAGCCAAACTAAGCTTCATAAGTGAAGGAGAAATAAAATACTTTATAGACAAGCAAATGCTGAGAGATTTTGTCACCACCAGGCCTGCCCTAAAAGAGCTCCTGAAGGAAGCGCTAAACATGGAAAGGAACAACCGGTACCAGCCGCTGCAAAATCATGCCAAAATGTAAAGACCATCGAGACTAGGAAGAAACTGCATCAACTAATGAGCAAAATCACCAGCTAACATCATAATGACAGGATCAAATTCACACATAACAATATTAACTTTAAATATAAATGGACTAAATTCTGCAATTAAAAGACACAGACTGGGAAGTTGGATAAAGAGTCAAGACCCATCAGTGTGCTGTATTCAGGAAACCCATCTCACGTGCAGAGACACACATAGGCTCAAAATAAAAGGATGGAGGAAGATCTACCAAGCAAATGGAAAACAAAAAAAGGCAGGGGTTGCAATCCTAGTCTCTGATAAAACAGACTTTAAACCAACAAAGATCAGAAGAGACAAAGAAGGCCATTACATAATGGTAAAGGGATCAATTCAACAAGAGGAGCTAACTATCCTAAATATATATGCACCCAATACAGGAGCACCCAGATTCATAAAGCAAGTCCTGAGTGACCTACAAAGAGACTTAGACTCCCACACATTAATAATGGGAGACTTTAACACCCCACTGTCAACATTAGACAGATCAACGAGACAGAAAGTCAACAAGGATACCCAGGAATTGAACTCAGCTCTGCACCAAGCAGACCTAATAGACATCTACAGAACGCTCCACCCCAAATCAACAGAATTTACATTTTTTTCAGCACCACACCACACCTATTCCAAAATTGACCACATAGTTGGAAGTAAAGCTCTCCTCAGCAAATGTAAAAGAACAGAAATTATAACAAACTATCTCTCAGACCACAGTGCAATCAAACTAGAACTCAGGATTAAGAATCTCACTCAAAGCCGCTCAACTACATGGAAACTGAACAACCTGCTCCTGAATGACTACTGGGTACATAACGAAATGAAGGCAGAAATAAAGATGTTCTTTGAAACCAACGAGAACAAAGACACCACATACCAGAATCTCTGGGACGCATTCAAAGCAGTGTGTAGAGGGAAATTTATAGCACTAAATGCCTACAAGAGAAAGCAGGAAAGATCCAAAATTGACACCCTAACATCACAATTAAAAGAACTAGAAAAGCAAGAGCAAACACATTCAAAAGCTAGCAGAAGGCAAGAAATAACTAAAATCAGAGCAGAACTGAAGGAAATAGAGACACAAAAAACCCTTCAAAAAAATCAATGAATCCAGGAGCTGGTTTTTTGAAAGGATCAACAAAATTGATAGACCGCTAGCAAGACTAATAAAGAAAAAAAGAGAGAAGAATCAAATAGACACAATAAAAAATGATAAAGGGGATATCACCACCGATCCCACAGAAATACAAACTACCATCAGAGAATACTACAAACACCTCTACGCAAATAAACTAGAAAATCTAGAAGAAATGGATACATTCCTCGACACATACACTCTCCCAAGACTAAACCAGGAAGAAGCTGAATCTCTGAATAGACCAATAACAGGCTCTGAAATTGTGGCAATAATCAATAGTTTACCAACCAAAAAGAGTCCAGGACCAGATGGATTCACAGCCGAATTCTACCAGAGGTACAAGGAGGAACTGGTACCATTCCTTCTGAAACTATTCCAATCAATAGAAAAAGAGGGAATCCTCCCTAACTCATTTTATGAGGCCAGCATCATTCTGATACCAAAGCTGGGCAGAGACACAACCAAAAAAGAGAATTTTAGACCAATATCCTTGATGAACGTTGATGCAAAAATCCTCAATAAATACTGGCAAACCGAATCCAGCAGCACATCAAAAAGCTTATCCACCATGATCAAGTGGGCTTCATCCCTGGGATGCAAGGCTGGTTCAATATATGCAAATCAATAAATGTAATCCAACATATAAACAGAGCCAAAGACAAAAACCACATGATTATCTCAATAGATGCAGAAAAAGCCTTTGACAAAATTCAACAACCCTTCATGCTAAAAACTCTCAATAAATTAGGTATTGATGGGACGTATTTCAAAATAATAAGAGCTATCTATGACAAACCCACAGCCAATATCATACTGAATGGGCAAAAACTGGAAGCATTCCCTTTGAAAACTGGCACAAGACAGGGATGCCCTCTCTCACCGCTCCTATTCAACATAGTGTTGGAAGTTCTGGCCAGGGCAATCAGGCAGGAGAAGGAAATAAAGGGTATTCAATTAGGAAAAGAGGAAGTCAAATTGTCCCTGTTTGCAGACGACATGATTGTTTATCTAGAAAACCCCATCGTCTCAGCCCAAAATCTCCTTAAGCTGATAAGCAACTTCAGCAAAGTCTCAGGATACAAAATCAATGTACAAAAATCACAAGCGTTCTTATACACCAACAACAGACAAACAGAGAGCCAAATCATGAGTGAACTCCCATTCACAATTGCTTCAAAGAGAATAAAATACCTAGGAATCCAACTTACAAGGGATGTGAAGGACCTCTTCAAGGAGAACTACAAACCACTGCTCAAGGAAATAAAAGAGGACACAAACAAATGGAAGAACATTCCATGCTCATGGGTAGGAAGAATCAATATCGTGAAAATGGCCATACTGCCCAAGGTAATTTACAGATTCAATGTCATCCCCATCAAGCTACCAATGACTTTCTTCACAGAATTGGAAAAAACTGCTTTAAAGTTCATATGGAACCAAAAAAGAGCCCGCATCGCCAAGTCAATCCTAAGCCAAAAGAACAAAGCTGGAGGCATCACACTACCTGACTTCAAACTATACTGCAAGGCTACAGTAACCAAAACAGCATGGTACTGGTACCAAAACAGAGATATAGATCAATGGAACAGAACAGAGCCCTCAGAAATAATGCCGCATATCTACAACTATCTGATCTTTGACAAACCTGAGAAAAACAAGCAATGGGGAAAGGATTCCCTATTTAATAAATGGTGCTGGGAAAACTGGCTAGCCATATGTAGAAAGCTGAAACTGGATCCCTTCCTTACACCTTATACAAAAATCAATTCAAGATGGATTAAAGATTTAAACGTTAGACCTAAAACCATAAAAACCCTAGAAGAAAACCTAGGCATTACCATTCAGGACATAGGCGTGGGCAAGGACTTCATGTCCAAAACACCAAAAGCAATGGCAACAAAAGCCAAAATTGACAAATGGGATCTAATTAAACTAAAGAGCTTCTGCACAGCAAAACAAACTACCATCAGAGTGAACAGGCAACCTATAACATGGGAGAAAATTTTCGCAACCTACTCATCTGACAAAGGGCTAATATCCAGAATCTACAATGAACTCAAACAAATTTACAAGAAAAAAACAAACAACCCCATCAAAAAGTGGGCGAAGGACATGAACAGACACTTCTCAAAAGAAGACATTTATGCAGCCAAAAAACACATGAAGAAATGCTCATCATCACTGGCCATCAGAGAAATGCAAATCAAAACCACTATGAGATATCATCTCACACCAGTTAGAATGGCAATCATTAAAAAGTCAGGAAACAACAGGTGCTGGAGAGGATGTGGAGAAATAGGAACACTTTTACACTGTTGGTGGGACTGTAAACTAGTTCAACCATTGTGGAAGTCAGTGTGGCGATTCCTCAGGGATCTAGAACTAGAAATACCATTTGACCCAGCCATCCCATTACTGGGTATATACCCAAAGGACTATAAATCATGCTGCTATAAAGACACATGCACACGTATGTTTATTGCGGCACTATTCACAATAGCAAAGACTTGGAACCAACCCAAATGTCCAACAATGATAGACTGGATTAAGAAAATGTGGCACATATACACCATGGAATACTATGCAGCCATAAAAAATGATGAGTTCATGTCCTTTGTAGGGACATGGATGCAATTGGAAACCATCATTCTCAGTAAACTATTGCAAGAACAAAAAACCAAACACCGCATATTCTCACTCATAGGTGGGAATTGAACAATGAGATCACATGGACACAGGAAGGGGAATATCACACTCTGGGGACTGTGGTGGGGTCGGGGGAGGGGGGAGGGATAGCATTGGGAGATATACCTAATGCTAGATGACACGTTAGTGGGTGCAGCGCACCAGCATGGCACATGTATACATATGTAACTAACCTGCACAATGTGCACATGTACCCTAAAACTTAGAGTATAATAAAAAAAAAAAATTAAAAAAATAAAAAAAAATAATAAAAATAAAAAAAATCAATATTTGTTGCAGAACATCTAAAATCAAGTTCCCTGGTTAATAAAATTCAGGCTGTGCAAAAAAAAAAAAAAAAAAAAGAAAGAAAATCCCAAATTGCTACACAAAAGAACCTGAAAATGACTGTACATAATTCAATAAAATATTTGTTTTTTCTAAAGAAATCATGCAAGGTTTCTTTAAATATCAAAATGCTCTTGAGTAAATAATAAAGAACTCAAATTATAAACCTAGAAGCAAAAATAATTTTGCAGAAACTATCTATTTTATAAGAGAGATTAAGACACTCCTGGAGTGCTTACAGTGGGGAGTTTTAAAAAAGGAAGAAAACAATCCTCTGGCGAATAAAACAGAGAGAACATGATGAAAAATGGCTGGGCACGGTGGCTCACACCTGTAATGCCAGCACTTTGGGAGGCCAAGGCGGGTGGATCACCTGAGGTCAAGAGTTCGAGAGCAGCCTGGTCAACATGGCAAAACTTCGTCTCTACTAAAAATACAAAAATTAGCTGGGCGTGGTGGTGGCCGACTGTAATCCCAGCTGCTTGGTAGGCTAAGGCAGGAGAATTGCTTGAACCCAGGAGGCGGAGGTTGCAGCGAGTCAAGATCGCGCCACTGCACTCCACCCTGGGCAACACAGCGAGACTCCATCTCAAAAAAAAAGAGAAAAGAAAAACAACAGCAACAACTAAACCCTCAAGCCACAGACACAGCTTGCACAAATAAGCACTGGTCAACACTGCATATTAATCCTGAATGTAAGAAGAGATGCTAGGAAAGGATGACAAAGTCATGTAGAATGAGGAAATGTGTGCAGTTCAGCCCCCATTGTGAAGACCTGACACTGAGTCTTCCTGTCTTGTTTGTATTCCCCAGCACCCTATTAGGTGATGATCATTCTAGATACAATTCCTTCAGACTAATTCAGTCTCAGTCGTGACATTTTGACTCCTGAATCACTTTTCTCTTTTCCTTGTTCCTGACAGTGAGCTGTCATTTTACCTGTATTTGGCCTGTTACCTGAACTCTCCATAAGCCACCAAGAAGCAAAGGTAGCAACTACAGTTACTAGGGTGGTTATTGTCTTGGTTGTGCGGGAAACAGGAGCAGCCACACAGACCAATTTTAAAAGGATTATTGTCAGGATATAGAGAGATTATCCTGTCAAAAATCAACAGAAGTTATATTTATGTTATTCACTTGAGGAGAAAGGCCATCTTTTATCTCCCTGAGCACATTTGTTTTCAATGTAAAGTAATATGGAAAAAACGAATGTAGTACTTAATCAATAAGATGAGAAGGAGAATATTTTTGTCCTCTGAAATCTTGCTTCAAAAACATTGTGACCAATACGTCCTATGCGTTTATATCTATTTGGTAGTATTACTATCACTCTTTTGATTTATTCTTATAGAGTAGCAGACAGAAGCAGAGTTATAATTCTGTATTTCAGAACAGTCTATCTTGCTAACAATGAAACAACTCTTCTTTCTCCTTCTTGCACTCCAAAATGAGGGGAATGTTTCTTCCTAGTTTGTGTGATAATGCTATCTTAGATCAGGTTCTCCCTTAAGCAGACCCTCACCCCAGGATTTAGATACAAATGATTTATTAAGGATGTGCTATCAGAAGAGTAAGGGGTAGAAGAAACAGGATTGGGAAGGGGGCCAAGGCAAGCAAGGGTATGTCTCATGGAAGACCCAGGCTCAGCCTGGTCCTGCAGGAAGCTGTAGAGTGAAAATTACCCTTCAAAATTTCTCCATCTACAGGTAAAGGAACAGAGTTTTGGTCCTCCCACACCACTTAGTCACTGGCTGGAAGATGCCCAGAAGGAATAGCAAAGGACTCTTCCACGCTTTTCCAGCTCCCATGCTGGCTCCACTGCCTGAGGGCAACCCTCTGAAGGTCATAGGAGTGAGTTATTAGCAGCAACAAATGGGGAAGCTGGAGGATGGACCCAAAGGAATCTAGGCAGGGCACCGTGGCATCTGCTAGAAAGGGGATTTATGCTTTCCATTACTCTAACCTGAATTAGAAAGTTTCCCTTCTTCTTACATCACTATCAGTGATCCATATTCTATTTATAATCTCCTTTTGAGGATTCTCACTTTAGAGATCTGCTGTTTGACAGTTTAAACTTCAAGACTTTCTCCCATACTGTAGCATCTCTTATCCTGCAGCCTGTACAGTATAAAGCATTGTTATAATCAATCTGTGTCAAAGAACACAGCACAAGCATTCTCCAATCCATAGGTGAAGGGCAAGTTGTGGAATCTGAGAATGGAAACTCTTGAAGGTGTTTTATTAGAGGAAGGACTGGAAGAGAGGAAGATTGAGCTATCTGAAACATGTGTATTGTCTTCATAATGGCCTAGTGCCAAAAGCACCAAAGCTGTGCACTGCTGAGTGTTTGGAGAGCATCCCGAGAGCTTCATGAAGCTCTCACAGATACTTCTCTGCATGACTCCCAGAACCCCAGCTTAGGGTCTGAGTTGGCTCAGGCCCAGGAGAGAAGACAGGACAGAAGCTGGAGTAAATATTCTTGAACCCTTACTACCAAGAATCATAATTCCATCATGGATGAAGAAGACCCAGGGATGCTGGCCTCTTGGACACAATTTGACATCTTATGCCCATACAGCACTCTGTGTTTTTTAAAATAATGAGCCAAATTATGTATAAGCAAATTATACATTTTTTTCACTTATTCTGAGCAGAAAGATCATCCCAACCTGTATATCTCCCTTATGAAAATTATTAAAAGAAGGAAATGGTTATTTTTCCATTGTGTGTATACAAAATCTAGGAAAAACTTGCAGATAAAGATAACACTTGGGGACAATGAATTATTTATTAGCTCTTTGCTTGAACTCTGAAATCTGATCAAAGAGGAACTTCTGACACTTATTCTATTAATTATGAATGACAAATTTTCAAGCTTTCTGCTAAGAGTATTATGTGTTACAAATCAGCCCAATCCCACTTGACTTTTTCCTCTGCATAGCAGTGGGCAGAGAAGCTCTTCCTCCCCTGCTTAGGAGCTTCTCCATGCCCAAATTCTTCCCATCTTTCAAGACTAGTTGAAATGCACTTTCTTGAAGAACACCTCCCAGATTCCTCCCATTGTGATCGATCTTTCCCCAAATGATTCTTCAGTATCTCCATGATCTCACTTTTGTTCTCTGACGTGTGCACTTAGCTATCTTCCTGTCTCTCATACAGATTTTAAGTTCTTATTCATTTTGGCATCCCCATTACACCTAGAAAAAGGCTGTACATGTAGATCTCCTTGAACATTATTGAATTGAATTTACATATTTTAAAAAACTGTTTTGAGCCCTTACAATGTGCTTACTCTGTACTAGACACTGGAAGAAAATGTATATAAAAAGATGAAAACAAAACAGTTCTTAAACTTTTCATTAAGGGTTAAAGACAGCCACATTTTTTAAAAAAGAAAAAGATTATAATAAGGTTTGCTAAATTTCAAAAAAGTACCATAGGAGTCCACAACTCCCTGTGAAAAGGTCAATAGGTGTCATCCCCATAAAAAGGTAACGAATATGAGGCTGATAGATGATGCATGGTAGCCATGGGTGTCTGGACCAAAACAGTACTGTCAGGCTTTCAGCATTCCTTCTACTCTCCATGGGGAGTCTGCACTAGGCAAGGATCAGAGGGTATACCCCTGGGAAAAAGGACACATGGCCAAGAACTCATATAGATTACTCATATAGATTACCTGTTTAAGAAAACAGGATCTTAGACTAGGTAGCGTGAGGGGAAAAAAAACGAAAGAAAGAAAACAGGAACCAAGCCTTTGAATGTGGCCAATTTTAACTTTGAATGTGGGCAGTGCAGGCAGTCCTAAAAGATCCCATGATGCGAATTCAAGGGCCAAAATACATGAAATTCCACCAGTATTTATTGCTTTGAGTTCCTTTTAATGTGGTTATCTGTTACAAAGCAAATACTCTTAATATTTTAACACAGCAAGTAAGCTAATGCATATTCATTGCACTAAGGTGCTTTTCTTCCTTGGGGGAACCATGATCTCGGTGAAAATACTGGGAAGAGATTTTGGTGAATACTAAATACTTTGTGAAGAGTAAAAAGGGGTGAAAAAAGAAGGAAGGAAGGAGTGTTGTGTGCCCAGAGAGAATAACAAAATATAAGATCTAAAGATATTAAGAGAAGCAAACATTGTAGTTTTTTGGAAAACAGAAAGATTAGGGTAATTTGGGGACTTTACAGTAAAGAAAAGCACAGGAAGTTATACTGGAAGAAGAAAAATATCACAAAAATTAAAGTTTTCTCTCTTACAGCAAGTTGGAGAAAGGTGAATTGTGGAAGTGAAAAATAACTATGTAGGAAAATAAAAGAAAAAACAGGCATGTTCACCAACCCTGAGTAGTTTTCCATGAATTCACTTTCAGTAAATTAAATTCTGTTCTATCTCTTCAGAACTGCTACAGAGCTCAAAACACTAAAAGATCAGTATTACTCTGCCCATAGCCTCTTCTGTGGTATTTTATTCTACAAACCTTTAGGGGAATTCTCTTTGTGTTTAAATGGCAGGTTGTAATTTTGTACCTCCATGATGGCAGCTTGAGAGAGAAGAGAAAGCTGTTTTACACTACCTCCTTATGCCAACACTGACGTATCTCAACCTTGTGAGCCCAAAGAATTAGTCACTGTGGAATCTTCATTACAACACAGCTAATGAGTAAATAAAATCAAGAGAGAAGAAGATAATGTGGTTAAATATGTGCTAGGGATGGAAAAACAGAGAGAGGGACATTAATCCCACTTATAGGGTTTGGCTTTAAATCAATTCATATCATGACATTATGAGCAGCTGTTAAACATGACCATCAAAAGTTTCACTAGAAAACTCTTCAGCTTGATACGAGATTCTGAGAGAACCAAACCATGAAAGTACTTAAGTATCATTAACAACAGATTTTGGTAAAATTTTACGCCAGAAGGAAGTCTTTTATAGATTTCTCCACAGGCCATTATTGAAATAGAAATTCAACCATTAAGGTCAGCAAAGATGGGCTTATCCTGTTGCCTACTTCAAAGCTGTCACTGGGTTTTTTGCAGGGACTACTTCTTGCTTGGCCTAAATTCAAAGGCCACTTTCTCAGGGCAGGTGTGTTCAGCAAGAATAGAATTGTATGCACACTCCAAATAGACAATTCTCCCTTAGAAGCCAAAAATGTAGTGCTTTATATCCTTGAAGTGTCAATAAAGGCATGCATTCTAGGCAGTGAAGCAACAGCATGTTTGATGTTTTAAAAAATAGATATAAGCCTTGCAAAAAAAAAAATGGAGACTACTAGACCAAATCAGCCTGTACTTTTCAAATATGTCCAAAAAGTCTTGCTATTGACATTAGCCATCTTGGTGCTGGACTGTCCTAGGAGGAGCTGGCAGCCACCTGGAAGAAGGCCAATGGGAGTGTTGGCATGCATCCTCAAAACACTGCTTTTTAACCCTCTCTTCCCTCCCCAAACCTCCAATCTCACTTCCATCTTTCTTACTGTTAGCCGATAACCTTGCCGCTAACTCCATAGAGAAGTTAGCTCTTAACTTTCTATGGGGGGAATAAAACAATAACCCTCATCTAAATTTACCTGCATCTTCATCCATCTCTTTCTCTTTCCTTTTTTATATTAGTAAACGTGTCCTTCTCCCATCAGAGGCAGTCTCTCCGTATGTTCTCTGGATCTCCCCTTCTCAGCAACATATCTAATGCCTTCCCCATCTCTATTCGCCTTCCAAGGTGAATCCATCCAATCCCGTGACTTCAGTAATCATATAGTCACTGATGAATCCCAAATTTGCATCTGTAAGTGTGACTCTGTTCTGGATTTCTACATGACTTACTTGACAGCTCCACTTGGATGACCTGCTCTCAATAGGAGTTAAATGTGAGTTCCCTACTCAAACATTTCTCTCCCATTGGTATCTCTGACCTCAGCGAAATGCATAGCCCTCCACTCAGATGCTTAAGCCAGTAACTTGGAGAACTCTGTCACACCTCACTGACTTTTGTCTCCATGTCTAAGAATATATTACCAAGTTCCAAATTATGTCTCAGATCTACTCTCTATAATTCCACTATCATTATTATAGAACCATCCACAACTATCACTCTCCTGGACTACTGCAGTGGATTCCTAACTCATCTCCACCATTTATTTCTGCTTCTTTTTTTTCTGCCAATCCATTCTCCATACAGCAGCTTATCTGTCCTTTTTGAAAGAAAACACCATCCTCATTACTCACCTTGAGCCACTCAGTGGTATTTCACTGCACACGAGTGATGCCATAGTGCACGTGTTTCTGGTGAGCTGTCTCTGTGTGCCACTTCTGGCTCATCTCTTGACTCACTCCTAATTCCTTCAGTGACTTTCTTCACTCTGGTCCTTGAACAGGCCTGGCTTTTTCCCACATCATGCACACAGGAGATTTCCCCCTTTTTGTTAGCCTAACTCCTATTCATCCTCAAGATCAGAGCTTAAATATCATTTCATCAGGGGATACTTCAAAAGTATTCCCCAATTTTCATGCCCCCACTCCACACCCACCTTTTCAGTTAGATCCTGCTTTTGGAATACTTTCTGTTTTCTCTTCCTTGTGTTCATCAAAATTACATTGCCATTTTTGTTCATGGCTATTTCTCCATGTCTATCTAGTACAGGGTTTGGCACAAAATAGATGTTTAATAAGTATGTGAATGATGGATGTATGTATGGATTGATGAATAGATGAATGGATGGATGGATGGAGGGATGGATGGATGGATGGAAGGAAGGAAGGATGGACAATGGTATGTTCCCAGCTATCATTTTTGTAGTCAGCAAGTTGGAATATATTCAAGAAACCTCAAAGAATGATTTGAAATTCGAGCTAAAGTTTTCTTTTTAAGACATTTTTTATTGAGTACCAAGCCAAGTTCTACCAGAAAATAATGATGTGAACAGGGAATTAAAATCTTTGTTTCCCAATAAGGACAATGAGACTGTATCATCTGATCTCAGGACAATCCGATCAGGTGATAAACCAACTGAGAGTTTTCCTTACTCAATAACAAAACACCTGCATGGTACACCAGTCCATACCAAACACCAAAATAATGCCTGGTATCTCTCTGAGAATATGCTTTTCACACCTTTGATCAGTCTTTCAATCAATCAAAAAGGGAGAAAGTTCAAATCACATATTTTTCTGCCTTAAGCATTAGAAAGAGCCTTTGTGGATTTCTCTATTTCATCATAGTACTACGTCTCAAAGGGCAGACCCCAGACCACTTGCAACAAAATAACAAGGAAAGTTTATATACAGGAAAGCTCTCACATTCTACATAAGACCTACTTCCGTCTGTGGAGAGAGCCGAGGATTTTAGTAAATCCTCAGATAAACTTGTGCCCTCAGAAATTTGAGAACAATTGGTCTAGAGGTTGTCAGTCCCTGCAGAAGGGCGTATAAAAATGTTTGTTTCAACTGAGCAGCCTCTCAATTCAATTTCTTTTGACCTATCAAAAGAAAATCTGTTAAGAACCACACAACTACAAAAGGCAGCTTAATTTAGGTTATCACACAGCTATGAAAGGCAGCTTAATTTACTTTAAAATTTGAATTTTTTAGAAAGAGAAATATAACATTTTTCACTTCACATGTTACAGTGGTGAAACATAAGACTGGGAGAGGCTGAGACATGGGGCTGGATGTGCACCCAGAGGAAGAGACTCAGTGGCAGAGCAGGGAGAAAGGGCAGCTCGGCAGGCAGGATAGAGAGTCCTTCAGAAAAGGATAATGCGTAAAGCAACAGGAAGTTATAAGAAACAACTATGGTTCCAACAGGTAGTAAAGCATAGTGATAGGAAATAGCAAACAGGAACTATTTAGAGATAGAGATAGACAAATAGGTAGGGAATCAGCAGTCATGTTATATTTACAATAGAATCTGCTGCAGGCCCTTTATCTCAAGCAGTCCTCAAGAAGGCCACACCACAAGTGTTTAAAAACGTCCTCCTAGCAGGTAGATACATGAGCTTTATAGAGTACTGGGTTAATCAGCTTACAGAAAACAAGTGAGTTCTTTGACAGAGTTGGGGATTAATTAACACAGGTGGTTTATTTTCAGCTTATGTAAACAAATTTATTTACCTATAATAAGCATAGTCTACATATTTTGCAAGTAAATGCAATTTATAATAACAAATATCTTTGCAAAACTTTTGTTCATTGCAAGCCTCCCAGCTAAAGGTTACATTCCTACAGGATTAAACACTAATCATTCAACATTAAAGAGAAGAAATAACTCATGATAACAAGAAATGAAACATGAAGAGTTCTAAATAAGACTTTTGCCGGCCATTCTCCTAAGGTGCTGTTTGTTGATATGCTCCAGAGGGCAACGAGACTTACAAATGTCAGACCTCTCTGTTGCTTATCATTGTAAAACTAGTAATCAAATTCTTTTCTTCCAAAGATCTCTCATCAAATATCACTGTGACACATAATTGTTTGTTTGCTTATCCAAGCTCGAACCTCAGATTTAGGCTTAAAATCCTTATTTCTGTATCAGTTAGTAGCGAGCATTCAGCTTTTAAGGGCACGTACAAGAGCAAGGGAAGACCCAGTTCTAGAAGGATCAGAGCATTTTATAGGTTACTAGACAAATGGCTCAGCACTCAACATACACCACTTAGCAGCATGTCTATACACTAACAATGAACTGCCCAAAGAAGAAGTCAAGAAAGCAATTCCATTTACAATAGCATCAGTACAAAAAGGGGTAAATTTAACCAACGAGATGAAAAGATTTATAGACCAAAAACTATAAAACACTGATGAGAAAAAATTGATAAAGACACAAATAAATGGAAAGATAGCTGTGTTCATGGAATAGAAGAAATAACATTGTAAAAATGTCCATACTATTTAAAGCAAGCTACAGATTCAATGCAATTCCTATCAAATTTCAATGAAATTTTTCAAAGGCTTAAAAATAATTCTAACATTTATATGGAACCACATAAAAGCCTCAAATATCCAAAGAAATCTTGAGCAAAAGGAACAAAACTGGAGGCATCATGCTATCTGATCTCAAAATCTGCTACGAAGCTGTGATCAAAACAGCATGGTACTGACATAAAATCATACATATAAACCAATAGAACAGTGATAGCCTGGAAGAGCAGGCAGTGATCACTTGGTGGATGAAAGCAAGACTGCAGACCCAAATGTCCAACAGTGATAGACTGGATTAAGAAAATGTGGCACATATACACCATGGAATACTATGCAGCCATAAAAAATGATGAGTTCATGTCCTTTGTAGGGACGTGGATGAAGCTGGAAACCATCATTGTCAGCAAACTATCGCAAGGACAAAAAACCAAACACCGCATGTTCTCACTCATAGGTGGGAATTGAACAATGAGAACACATGGACACAGGAAGGGGAACATCACACACCAGGGCCTGTTGTGGGGTGGGGGGGAGGGGGGAGGGATAGCATTAGGAGACATACCTAATGTTAAATGAAGAGTTAATGGGTGCAGCACACCAACATGGCACATGTATACATATGTAACAAACCTGCACGTTGTGCACATGTACCCTAAAACTTAAAGTATAATAATAAAAAAAAAAAAGTAGAGCAGAGAGACACAGATAAACTAGGCTCTTGGTGATGTCATCTGAACCTCTGGTCAAATGTGCCCAAAGCCAGCATTACCTCTGAGTTTTTATTTATGTAAGCCAATGAATTCCCTTTTTGCTTAAAACAGTTTGAGTTGGGTTTTTCCATCATTTGTAAATAAAACATTTTAACTGATATAATCAGAATCCATGTATTCATTATTGAACATTTACTGTATGACTGGCATATACTAAATGCTGTAGATTCTGTGGCAAATGATTCATTTGATTCTGGCTCTCATGGACTTACTTCCTACAGTAAAGGAGACAGACAGTACAAAAATAAACACTCCAGTAAAATTGTGATAAGTTCCAGGAAAGTGAAGACTCTAGGTCTATTACTAAGAAAAACAGGTGGCTGAGAAAGAATTTGATTAAGAAGAAAGGGGTGCATTAGTCTGGAGAAGGAGCTTGGGTTGGCCAGGTGAAGTGTGGAGAAAGTACACACAAGCTGAAGATGGGTTTTCCCTTCTCCTACCTACCCTAACCCCTTAATCAGAGCAACAAACTTGTCACAGGGCTAAAAATCCAATCTAATTAAAAGTTACATTATTATATTAGCAAGTTGTACTATCTTCCAGTCCTGATGTTCCCACCTACCAGCAGCACCACCATTGGAACCAGTCAGGCAACATGGACACCCAAGTGACTGGTTTATTCGTCAGTTACCACCACATCAATAAGAGATCCTGCAGTTTTGAAGTGTGTTTCAGGTTCACAAGTTTGTTGTTCAATTTCTGGTTTCCTCATTTCCATGTGACTTTTCCAATGTAAATATCACTTGGAGAAGGAGGGGGCCTATATCCCAGGGCAAGCAGAAGTGGTATCTCAGCTGTTCAGTCTAAACTGATTCTGCTCCATTTGGCAGAGCACCAGCTGTTGGCCTGGCTCATCTCACTCTGGTAGTTGCCAAAACATTCATATTCTGTAGTTTTCTATTCCTCATTTTAATTTTTCCTTCTAGTATGTTTCTTGAATTCAGTGAAAATTGCCTACATTTCCTTCTTACAGTGTGATAGACTACCTTCGGGTCTATGCTTCTCAACAGATAACATATGTGAAAGCCCCAAGGCAAGAGAATTTGGTCTCCAGGATCCATAAGGGTCAATGTTTAGCAAGCAATGAGACTAGAGAGACTGGCAAGTGCCAGACACTGTCCAGTCATAGAGGACACATTAAGGATTCTGCATCTTATCCTAAGGCCAATAGGAAGTCATTGAAGGGAGTTAAACAGGAAATGAGATGAACAAGTCTGCCTTTAAAAAATTACTGATATAGTCTTCCTGCTAAATAAAAAACCAATCAAGGTATTTGTTTCCTGGGAACTTATTTGAGAGATAAAAAATGGGTTATACAAACTGGAGTGGGGCCTACAGGGGCCAGAAACTGGAAGTTATTTTCTTAGAGCTCTAAAAATTTGAAAAGTGAAGAGTTCTTACTTTATTTTACAAGAGAAAAAATAGTGCTGTCTTGGAACATCGACTCAAAAGAGTCAAATTTCAGTTACAGTTTTACAACTATAGGCATTAATCTTTTCATTCCTGCTACTTCTCATGTGACAAGTGAAAATAAGTTGACAGTAAGTTAAAGTGTATAAATCAGTACTTCCCACACCTATGTCAAAGAAAACATCAGGCAGATGCCACTTTCCATAGATAAGATGCTTCTGGACTTCAGGAAGTTAAATTTAATCCGAGTATGATTTCATAAATGTCACTTCCCATTGTACAGTCCCTTTTATTGCTACAGGCACAAATCATTTTTAATAATGAGTAATATGCAGGGTAAAGGACAATTATAGTCCAGAGGTATTACAAATAAAAGGAATAACACAGATAAAACCCCTGCTGCAAGTCCATGAATCCATAAGTTATGAAATTCAATTTGCTTAAAATGTCACCAATTCATCATCTCTAGTTTCTGAGCTAATAAGAGCAGCTCTAGAGAGCATATTCTGATCCCAGGCACCACTTCACCTGGCATGTGATTCTGAGACCTTTTCTCTCCAAATATATGTTTAACTATTCTTTAAATTTTTCTAGGTGTTGTGTAAATGCATTAGTAACAAGCCATCAATCCCCCCCAAAGTGTTGTTTGAAGTACAACAGATTTTGCTGCTTCAAAGTCTTAAACCAATTTTATTTAATTTCTGGGGCATAACATAGAAGGTAGCAAACTCAGATTGAGGTACTTTTTTACTGACTAGTGGCCTTTTTCAGGAAGCCTAATGTATCTAACCACAGTCTTCAGCTTCATGTATTTCCATTACTGTATTTTCAAAATAACACTATAATGGGCCACAGAACCATTAAAAAGCTCACTTTTGAAGGTTACTGAAATCCATTACTGCAATGTGCTTTTCCCTACCAACCTACTGGTGTGGATTGCTATCCCTTGGGCCAGGATTTAAGATTATTGCATGCACACCCAAATAATCCATTAAAAATAATGATGTTAATGAATTAATGTTCATTTTTAAAGGAAAAGCATTAATTTATTTTTTCAAAAAACTGAAAACATTTTGTATTTTGCAATAAATAATATAACCAATTGGCATATATTACGTTTTACAAGTGTTTTTCTATTTCCTACAACAGGGGTATCCAAAAACCCATCCAGAACTAGAGCCATTGTTTGCTGATGTTTTTCACCTAACAGGATACTCAGAAGAATCTGCTAATAAGAGTTACATATATAGGCTGCGTGCAGTGGCTCATGCCTGTAATACCAGCACTTTGGGAGGCCTAGGCAGGCAGATCACTTGAGTTCAGGAGTTCAAGACCAGCCTGGCCAACATGGCAAAATCCTGTCTCTACTAAAAATATAAAATTTAGGCCGGGCGCGGTGGCTCCTGCCTGTAAACCCAGCACTTTGGGAGGCCAACGTGGGTGGATCACTTGAGTTCAGGAGTTCAAGACCAGCCTGGCCAACATGGCGAAACCCCCGTTTCTACCAAAAGTACAAAAATTAGCCTGGCATGGTGGCAGGCGCCTGTAATCCCAGCTACTCGGGAGGCTGAGGCAGGAGAATTGCTTGAACCTGGGAGGCAGAGGTTGCAGTAAGCCGAGACTGCGCCACTGCACTCCGGTCTGGGCAACAGAGTGAGACTCTGTCTCAAGAAAAAAAAAAAAAAAATTTAGCCGAGTGTGGTGGCATACACCTATAATCTCAGCTACTCAGGAGGCTGAGGCACAAGAATCACTTGAACCTGGGAGGCAGAGGTTGCAGTGAATCGAGATCATGTCACTGCACCCCAGCCTGGGCCACAGAATGAGACTCTGTCTCAAACAACAACAGCAACAAAAAGAGTTACATATATAATACCAGTTCAGGGAAAATACATCCCTAACTTGTGTCCTGATAGTTATTCCCCCCCTTTGATCCCATGAATTACTTTACTTGATGTAAATCTAATAAATCCCAGAATCTGGGTTTCTTAAGCCTATGCCTAGCCTTCCTTTATTTAGTTCACATACTGCCTCCTGCATAAGATAACAAGTCACCTGTAGAGATTCCAGAGTCTCTTTTAGTCACCATGTTTTGGGATGAATCCTAAAAAAAATCCCATGAAATTGTGATTTCTAATTGTTTCTCTCAAAATGCACAATAGTCATAAAACTGATCATAAATCAATTTCAACTTCTAAGGTTGGCCAAGAACATTCATAAGCATCAAGAATGTTTGGATTTTGTCTCTATTTTTGCTTTTAAATTAGACAAATAATGTGATTCAGTATACTGGCTCCTTTGCAGGAAAAAGAAGGGGATAAAATTGTGAAGAGACACACAGGATCTTAAAGCTAATGATAATATGCTATTTTTTAAACTCGGTACTGGGTACACAGATGTTCACTGTATTATTAATCTTCATTTATAAAGATTATTTTCTATTTACTCAATATTTTATAAAAAGAGTTTTGAAAACAAAATTAAATACATGGAAATAGTCTCTGTTTCCAATTTCCACATTTAAATTATTAAACCTATTGGAAGCAAATCAAAGACATCTGTTAAATTTTGAAAGCTTGCCGACAGTTTCAGGAAAACCCTGTAAGAGTAATTTTGCCTCTGAAAGACTTTTATCCAAAAGTTGCTGCCAGATGCTATTCTAGTGATACTATGATAGAATACCCTAAACAATATTTGAAGAAAAAAAATCATGCTTCATTTAAAAAATAAACCTTTAAAAACAATCAGGCACCACCTGCCAAACACAGCAAACATTTGTTTATTGCATGCCTTCTGAGTAGCAGATGTAGTACATGTACTATTGCAAATACAGAGACAAATATACAGTCCCTGCCTTCAGAGAGTTTACAGTCTAACAGGGAAGGAAGATAGGCATATAAGCAATTGATTCTAATGCAAGATAACATCAAATAAGTGCTTATCAGGAGCGTGAACAGCCTGCTCTGGAGCTGAGTTAAAGAAGTGGACTGGGGCCAGACACAATGGTTCATGCTTGTAATCCCACTGCTTTGGGAGGCTGAGGCAGGAGACCAGCCTAGGCAACAAAGCAAGATCCTATCTTTACAAAAAAAAAAAAAGAAAAGAAAAGAAAAGAAAATTAGATAGGCATGGTGGCATGCACCTGTAGTTTCAGCTGCTCTGGAGGCTGATGGAGGAGGATTGCTTGAATCCAGGAGTTTGAGGTTACAACGAGCTATGATTGCACCATTTCATTTCACTCCAGCCTGGGTGACAGAGCAAGACCCTGCCTCAAACAAACAAACAAACAAACAAACAAAAAACTGGATTGAGGCCTCCCTTGGAAAATAGTATTTACTATGATTAATTCACAACAATCTAAGGTCAACCCCTCGCTCTTTCAACTCCAGAATTTGATTGTATCAAGGCACCAGATTCAGAGCATCAGATTGATCAGATTCAGAGACAATGGCTCACATTCGCCAACTCTCAAAAGTCTAAAGAATATAAACTAAAGTGGGAATTTATAAATTTGCAATAACAATTATAACTGCTGGGAAGAGTGAATGTCCACATTGCCTGACTGGCATACATTCTTTCCTGAAAGTAAGCTAAGCAGAAAGCCCTGTCATGAGAAAGGTGTTTGGGATACAAGAAGTCAGAATAAGGTCAGCTAGTGATATGGTTATAATGATTTTAAAAGGCATCATTTTGATAACCATATCAAAATTATATGGGGAGGAGAAAGGGGAGGGGGAAGAAAGGAAAGGTGAGAGGGGAGGAGAGAAAATTGTGAGCTTTGAGCAGCTAACTGGTTCACTTGTAGCTAATTGGGAAAGCCAGATATCTCTTAGATAATTTCTTTTTCTTTTGGGAAAGTTTTAAAAACGCAAAGTGCTGGAACTTTCTTCTTTGCCTGGAGTTCCATAACTCTATTTGTGCATTCATATTCAAAAGGTAATCTGTGCATGTTGAATTAGCTTCAAACTGCTAACTGAAAAATCCCCATTGTAAAAAAAAAAAAAATCAACAAGAAAAATTCTTCCATTATCCTCCTAACTCCTGACTCAGGTTAGAGGTGAAAGAAATAAAAATTCAAGGCTCACCAATTGCACACATATTGCAGTTATTCTGGAGAATATATATACCTTAATATACCCCTGTGTAGCAGTCTATTTCAGCTGCAAAGAGAACTATCCTCCAAGGTAGTTCTATACTCTTTGAGAAGAGAAGGGTTGGGGTGAAAGATGGTTCACCATATTTTTTCCCTACCTGGATCATCTATGAGTAGATGGTCCAAGACCATCAGTGAGGTGAGGCCAGTGTCCATTGTCCATGGAAAGGAGGGACAATCTTACCTGCTTGGATATCACCTTGCCTGACTTTGCTGAAGAAATCTGGGTAACTGTTCCAGTCATACTGGATATATGGGGTTTCTGGTGGGGGTTGGGGGAGAAGGATGGAGAATTTAACTACTTTTCTCCTTTATTCCTTGATTTTTTGTTCTTTATTTCCCAAAACTCTCTCCCTTGGTCCTTTCCTTTAATTAACTCCCTGTGTACTTTATGTGCTCTAACATTCCCTTTTCCTGTTGAATTGTCTCTGTGTCAGAGTTACCTTAAGGCTTGAAGATTTCACACCCTCAGGAGCCCTCTGTGTCGTTGGCCTTTCTCTTCTGCCTGGTCACTACTGCTCTATCTCAGTGCCTCCTGGCTCTCCTTGGGAGGCAGAAAGGACAGCCTCATGGATATAATGAAGGGGAGCGGAGGACGGTCCACTCTAGACTGGCTAGCTTTATACTAAAGGAGCATTTTAAAAACCCATGACTTTACCATTATGAGGATGAATTATCTCCCCAATATATCCAGATGGTGCACATGAGAAATGTATCTTCTTCCTATTAATACATCTTGCTCTAGTTCTTGCAAAGTAAAACCTAGCTCTTTTTGTGCTGAGTAGTCACCTTTCCTGTCTTGAATCATATAAAACAACTTTCCGTTTTGCTTTCAATCCATGTTGTCGAATAACTTTTCTCTAACTGCTGGGTTTCTCCTCTTACATTGGTGGGTGTCTGAAAAGCTTAGGGATTTTCAGCTCACTCTGCTACACTTTAAAAAAAACAATACCAACCAACAAAACTTCTTTTGTGTAGATCTATTTTCTGTAATTAAAAGAGACTTGGCTAAATTAATCTAAATTAAAATCCATTTGTTTTATTTCCTTCTAGGAAATATCCAGTGTAACAAAATCATTGACTTTCAAAGCCTTATAATATAGCAGCAGAAGAATAAAGTAAGGTCTTTTGAAATATCCACAGGTACAGTCTTGGTTAAATAAAGAACAGTAATAGTGTTTTACCCAACATTGTTGTGGAGTAAGTTAATTTTCCAGATAGCTGGCATTTATCTTTAAGCACTAAAACCTGCCTTTATATATATAAAATCTATTTTGAGCTCTAATCCTGTAATGCCCCAAGAGCCTGGAAAAGCAAGCAGGTTGTATGTTTTTGCGGCCTTGAGTCAGGTTCTTTAAAGAGTCCCTGTCGCCTGCCCTACTATCGGACTATCAATCATGCCATCTTATGCCTATCAGAGCTTTCCTTTTAAAGATGTACCCATTTTCCACTCAACATATATCTTATAGCCTCTAATTTGTGCTGGGTGGAAAAGTCTTATAACCAAATTGGTTCTAATTCTGTATAAATGAATAGAAATAGTTGTGGGAATTGAGGGAATCACCTGGGAATAAGCGGTATGAGCTTAGGAGTGTAAACTTTCTGTGGTCATCAGAACTTTGTGACATAGATTTTGTCTTGTCAGGACTTTTTTCTTCATTTTTAACTTTTTCTGGATAGTGAAAATTGCTACATAGGATATTTGAATAAATGAGCTGTTGTTATTATTATTCAGCAAAATGCTCTTTGTCACTTTACTCTGTCTTAAGATGTGAAATCTGTCACTTATTGTAAACTGCCCAAAATACTTGTGGAATGTGCCAGGGGGATTATATATCTATATAATAATATAGATATATTATATGTCCATAGATATTATACTATCATATAGATACATCATAATATATCTCTATTTTTCTATATGGAGACAATTTCTCTCTATATATACAGATATATAGAGAGAAATGACTAATCTGTATATAGATATCTATATATAGATATATATTAGTGAGGGTTTAGTCATTTCAGTTCTGAATGATTATATCCTAATAAGCAAAAAGGAAGTTGTTAAAGACAAAACTCATGAAGTGGTTTGTTCTGGTTAATTTACTTAAATTTATATAATGTACTAAGCATTTTCATACCACAATAAACAGACCTGACTGGAGATAACAACCTTTGATGACCAAAAATGTTTTATTGGGAACGTCTGTTTTCATGATGCAGCACAGTTTCCGTAAGTACAAGAGAGTTGTGAGGAGAGGCTGGAGTGATTTGCCATCACATCTCATAGAATTTGTAAAGAAATATTAAAATAAGTTCCTTCTGACAATTGAATTTATTAATTATTTCACTAGAAGAGTTTGCTTATTCTGACTTTTGTTTTCTATTCTTTCGGTTCAGGCAAATCAAGGTTTTACTGTAACAGAAAACAAGGCTACACATTCTCTAGGTACCATGAAAGGCAGAATGAATCCTGTCATTAGAGACAAACTAAATTTAGACGAAGTCTACTTGTATGCACTAATTTGAGAAAGAATAGGAGTGTGAGGAAGAAGGGGAAGTTAATCACACCACCAGTAGACTCACTAATATCTAATATCTACACAGTGGGTGGACAGAATCTAATTATAACAGTGTCCCCAGATTTCATCAGCTAAAGAGACAAAGTTAAGAAAAATTAAAAAATAAAACACCCAGCTTGTCTATGCAGGAGTTGGAGTTAACAGCAATGTTTCTACTTCTCTCGCCATGTTTATGGGCAGACTCTTTATGTCTTCGTATTTGGCTGAACCGGGCTGTGTCTGACGCGTGTTCTTCAAATTCCATGTTTGCATTGGGACTTTTCCTCAGAGTGTCAGCACTGATGCACTTTCTGCCCTGCAAGTGCTTTCTCTCATTCTTTTTGGTCAGATAGGGGTGTACTCATGCTGTGATTCTTTTTGGAAATCTCAAGCAATCTTGCAATTTATAACTCAAGGGAAATATATTGTCTGAATTTTAAAATTAATATAACGTAAGTATTGTTACATTACACAGAAGAGAATTGACTTTTACATTTCCATTTATATGAAAGTGAAGGAAGAAAATCAACTTCTCCCACATCAAATGATAAAATAGAAAAACAATTATATTAATGGTTGTAATTTTGTATTTTGTTGTATCCTAGCTTTTTATTGACTGTAGAAGTTACTGAATTAGTGATATTTTATCTTAAATATTTGTGCATTCAAAAAAGTAACCATTGCATTGATTTATCTGTTATCTGTTATTTTATGCCACCAAATATTCTATCCAGAAATATTGATTTCCAAAGTTAGATGCTGCAGCTGATGAACAGAATAGCAGAATATGTCAAACTGCACTTTTTGTTATTAATGTATTTCAGCATGTGATTTACTTCACTATAGGTCATTAAAAGAAGTTCACTTTTAGTTAAGAAGCCTGATTTGGGGCGGGGTTGAAGAAGGATATCACAAATTATAATTTCTAAAAATGGCTGCAATAATATTTTTTATCCAACCATGCTACTTTTTCATTAAGAGGTGGAGCCTATTTCTCATCACCGTGAACCTGTGATGAGTCTTTGTGATTTCCTTAGAAATTTGAATGGTGTGACTTCTTTTTATTTATTTATTTTTATTAAAAAAAATTTTTTTTTTTGAGACAGAGTCTCGCTCTGTCGCCCAGGCTGGAGTGCAGTGGCATGATCTTGGCTCACTGCAAGCTCTGCCTCCTGGGTTCATGCCATTCTCCTGCCTCAGCCTCCAGAGTAGCTGGGGCTACAGGTGCCCACCACCATACCTGGCTAATTTTTTGTATTTTTAGTAGAGATGGGGTTTCACCATGTTAGCCAGGATGGTCTTGATCTCCTGACCTCGTGATCCGCCTGCCTTGGCCTCCCAAAGTGCTGGGATTACAGGCGTGAGCCACCGCACCCGGCTGAATGGTGTGACTTCTAAGGCTAGGTGAGAAAAGGTGATGTGTATAGCTTTTGCCTGGCTTTCTCTCTTGAGATGTTCACCCTTAGAAACTAGCTACTACTATGTTCTGAGGAAGCCCAGGCTACAAGGAGAAGCCACATGTAAGTGTCCTTGCTAAAATCCTAACCAACAGCCAGAATCAAGCACCACACATGTGAGTGTGAACAAGCCTTCAGATGATCCTAGCCCCAGCTGATGAGTCATCCTCAGCCTCCTTTGAATCTTCCAGCTGAGACTGCAGGCTCTGGAGAGCAAAGACAATTAGTCCCTGCTGTTGTCTGTCTAAATTCCTAACCCACAGAACCCACAAGCCTAATAAATGGTTGTTTATGATATCCAGTTTTGAGATATTTGTTATGCAACAGTATATAATTGTAACAAAAGGACAGAGAAGGAGAAGACCAAATTTTTGCACTGTAACTAAGAATGAATTGCCCTATAAATACTCAGGATTCTAACACAGGAACTTTTTTTCTTCGTAGTGTTTCAGGACTTTTCCTTAGTTCCACAAGGAGAGGGTTCTTTGTCCCACAGCCACAAAAATTTGGGGCTTGAAGACAATTTGAATGGTGAGTAAGACAGGGTTTTATTGGGTGAAAACAAAAAAAAGTGGGGGAAACAGGGACTCTTGCAAGGCCAGAGTCCCTGCTAGAGTGCTTCCTGCCCAGCTGTTCCAATCCCAGTTTCCACACAGGAAGAGAAGGGGCCAGGCTCCTCCCTGCTGCAAATGGCAGGAACTTCTGTGGCTCCACCCTAGTGTGCAGTCTGGTTGGAGTTTTTCCAGGGACCCCCGACCCACCTAGCTGTCTCGACAATAAGTTAAAACTCACCATGGAATACTATGCAGCCATAAAAAATGATGAGTTCATGTCCTTTGTAGGGACATGGATGAAATTGGAAATCATCATTCTCAGTAAACTATCGCAAGAACAAAAAACCAAACACCGCATATTCTCACTCATAGGTGGGAATTGAACAATGAGATCACATGGACACAGGAAGGGGAATATCACACTCTGGGGACTGTGGTGGGGTGGGGGGAGGGGGGAGGGATAGCATTGGGAGATATACCTAAGGCTAGATGACGAGTTAGTGCGTGCAGCGCACCAGCATGGCACATGTATACATATGTAACTAACCTGCACAATGTGCACATGTACCCTAAAACTTAAAGTATAATTTAAAAAAAAAAAAAAACTCACTCAAATTCCCATTATCAGATGAGCAGAAAGTACAGTATCTCTGTTTTGGGGCTCCTGACTTCCTTGGTTCTTTATAGGACCTGGTTTGTCTAGGATTGTCTTCCAAATCTAAGAAGATAGAGTACTGATATCTCATATGTTTCCCTCTGATTGCATTTGCTTGGCGTCTCATTGCCAATTGCTGTCTAAATCTGTAGGCCCATGCCACCCAATGCCTTGATGGCTTAGCCTTCAGCACAAGCAAACACAATCTTTTAAGGGGGGAATAACATGCAGATAACTCTATTCCCTCAGGGCCACATTCAAACAGTATGCCCCACCTAATTTTTCATACTTTCCCATACAACCATTCCTCCCCAAGACTCCTATTACCCTGAAGTTTCTGGATCCAGATGACTTCAGATGTGCCATTTTCAAGCCACAAGAACTATCACTGTTTCCAGCCCTAAGAATCCATTCAGAGGTTGTTTCTTTCCTTTTTCAGTCCTCTAGATAACAGGATTTACTCCCCTCCCCATTTAGGCAATGGAGATTTCTACGCACACTGACTTATTATAGCTACTTGGACTGTCATTGGCCCCATAACTACTAGAAGTTTTCCCATTTCTTACTCTTAATGGCAGAGACCGATTACTGACCTCAGCCAATAAAGAATCTCGGCCAGGTGCGGTGGCTTATGCCTGTAATCCCAGCACTTTGGGAGGCCAAGGCAGGCGGATCACGAGGTCAGGAGATCGAGACCATCCTGGCTAACATGGTGAAACCCTGTATCTACTAAAAATACAAAAACATTAGCCGGGCTTGGTGGTGGGCACCTGTAGTCCCAGCTACTCTGGAGGCTGAGGCAGGAGAATGGCATGAACCCGGGAGGCAGAGCTTGCAGTGAGCCGAGTTCGCGCCACTGCACTCCAGCCTGGGAGACAGAGAGAGACTCCGTCTCAAAAAAAAAAAAAAAAAAAAAAAAAAAAGAATCTCAAGAGGGCTCAGACCTTCATAAGAAAAAAAAATCTATTTATGTCTTGGAGGTGATTCATACTTCCAAAAGTTCTCTGACCATCTCTATCATTAGAATTGCAAGACCAATTATAAATTAAATCTTCAGTTGGGGCACATATAATACATTGTAATTATAATTTTAATTAAAAATATTATTTAGTGAATATTCATTGTGCTCCAGCTTGTATCCTAGACAAATGTTCCTGTTATCTCAGGGATATACTAGATTAGCATTCAGCAAACTATGGATCAAAGGCTAAATCCAGCTTCTTTTTGTAAAGTTTTATTGGAACACAGATAACCTCATTCATTTACATATTGTCAATGACTGTTTTTGCACCCCAAAGGAAGTGTTGAATAGTAGAAACAGAGACCTTCTGGTCCTTTAATCCTAAGATATTTACTATCTGGCTCATTACAGAGAAAGATGCCAACTTCTCTAGCTCAAGAACATTCCAAGCAAAGTAGCTAAGAAAAAAACAAAAAACAAAAACTGTCTTCAGAGAACACTACTGAATTTTGTGGTAAGCACATTAGCTGTTCTAAGAATTTGCTTTTCCTGTCCGCATTCATTCACATGAACACATGGACACCAAATTTTGGAATCTGGATTAATATAAATTCAGTTACAGGCTTGTCATGTTCTTAATGGAAAAAGATAAAAACATATATGAGTTTGAATGGAAGAGAAAAAGAAAACAAGCAAACTATTGTACTGTGGAAAATTAGCCTGAAACCCCAAATTCGAAAACAAAAATTCTCAAAATACCTCAAAAGAACTGATGAATTGCTAAGTGATACTAAAAAAGTCATTCAAAATAAAATACATGATGACATAGTAGCTTAGAGGAAAGAAAGATAGAATAAAAGGCTTTAATATACTCTAATAGGAATTTCAGAAGAATGAAGGGAAAAGTAAGTACCCAAATGTTATCAAGCACTTTAGGGACAAAAAATAAATAAAAAAAATTGATGCTTTCTTCCCTCAACAATATTGCAATCTAGTGAGGCTGTTATATACACACATGCTTCTATAAGAATTCTGCATAAAGTTTTATATAAAAGTATTTAAAAATTATATTAGAAGGAGAAATAATGGATTTATAATAGTTATGTGTAATTTTATGAAGGAGGAGGATTATTTCAGTTTGATTGAAATTTGAATTATCTAAGGAGTAGAGACAGGCAAGGAGACTAAGAGATCTGACATCTTTATCTAAATTTTATTTCTTTTGTTCCCAACATCTCCCTTTCATTCCAGTATTTTTCCTATGTATTAATGTAGAAAGAATATATTCATATTCATGGAAGACTCCAGGCCAGTCTGACCACAACCATAACATTAGAGTCTGTGATTCCACTGTGTTCCTTTCTGCTATTACCAGAAAGAAGTAAGATGAGATGGATTTTAGAGTTAAAAAGTTAACCTGTTAAGTGTGGGTAGAAACAGTGAAGATTACTCCTTACGCATCCTTTTAAAACATTCCAAGTTGTTTGATATGTGGTGCTAATTATGAAACTATTTATAGTTATTTTTAATTTTTCCATATAAACAATAGCAATCAGATTATTTATCTACAAAGAAAAATTTTCTGTTAATACAAAGTAATATAAACACTATTTGAGTAAAATCTTGTTATAAAATTTGAAGGATCTTGAAAAATGTAATTTCTGATCTGCTTACTTGCTATTATAACTCTCCTAATTTCATGCACTTGCTTAAGGAGACAGTGTTTTTGAAGAATTGCCTTTTAGAAATGCAGAATAAATATTAGCCCATCTTGTAATAAAGCAATGTATTCTCTCAGGGCTGGGAATTGTTCTAGTAAATGGTAGAGAATTCAAATATAAGGTACTGTTTGCTTTCCATTAGCTAAATTATTGATTACAAATCAATATACATATGAGAAATAAGACAGAATATTGTTAACCATCCATGCATATAAGCTGTTTGATTTTGTTACAAACACTGCCTGAAATGTAAAGATTTTGTTTCAAGATCCGTTATGAAAAAAATATATTAAATTCCACCAGATTGCAAGGGTAAAGACTATCTTAATTATCACTACTACCTGTCTTAGAGTAGGTATTCAATAAATGACAAATGAACAATTTGCTAGCTTCTTGTCACTTCTCTTTTCAATTTCACAAAATGATACTGTAGAACATTCGTTTAAAGAGATATTGTGTTGAGCGAAAATAGTAATCACATAATTTGTATAATTCTGGGTTAGAAAAAAAGTCAAGTTTTCCCCCCCACTCCATTTTTTTACATCTCTAGATTTGTAAGAGGGCAAAAAGCAAATACTGAATTTCTCAAATTTATTCGATGATGGGATTTTTTTTCCTCTCAGGGAGTAATTATTGGGCAAAAATAGTACACTGTCTTTGCTTGGCTTACCCCAGAAGAAGGCCCTAAGACAAACTTAAGATGCTTATTTGAGAGATGATCCCAGAATGCACCAGTAGATTAGAGTGGGATAGAGATGGGAAAGGGATCAACAAAAAGTAAATCACAAAACAAGTTACTTATCTGGGAAGTTAGACCTTAATTTTGCTGGTGAGCTCTAGGAAACTGCTGGTGAACTCTAGGAAACTGTGTAGAACAGTGGTCCCCAACCTTTTTGGCACTAGGGACCAGTTTCATGGAAGACAATTTTTGGTTCTGTGGACCAATGGGCATGGAGGGGGGAAGGTTTTGTGAGGATTCAAGTGCATTAAATTTATTGTGCACTGTATTTCTATTATTATTACATTGTAATGTATAATGAAATAGTTATACAACTCACCATGATGTAGAATCAGTGGGAGCCTTGAACTTGTTTTCCTGCAACTAGATGGTCCAATCTGGTGGTCATGGGAAACAGTGACAGATCATCAAGCATTAGATTCTCATAAGGAGCATGCAACCTAGATCTCTTGCATGTGCAGTTCACAATATGGTACACGCTTGATATGGTTTGGCTGTGTCCTCATCCAAATCTCATCTTGAATTCCCATGTGTCGTGGGAGGCGCCCAGAGGGAAGTAATTGAATCATGGGGGCAAGCCTTTCCTGTGCTATTCTCATGATAGTAAATAAATCTCATGAGATCCGATGGTTTTCAAAAGAGGAGTTCCCCTGCACAAGTTCTCTCTCTTTGCCAGCTGCCATCCAAGTAAGATGTGACTTGCTCCTCCTTGCCTTTCACCATGATTGTGAGGCCTCACCAGCCTCCTGGAACTTTAAGTCCAATTAAACATCCTTCTTTTGTAAATTGCCCAGTCTCAGGAATACCTTTATCAGTAGCATGAAAATGGACTAAGACATTAAATTGGTACCAGTAGACTGGGGTGCTGCTGAAAAGATACACAAAAATGTGGAATCAACTTTGGAACTGGGTAACAGGCAGAGGTTGGAACAGTTTGGAGGGCTCAAAAGAAGACAGGAAAATGTGGGAAAGTTTGGGGCTTCCTAGAGACTTGTTAAACGACTTTGACAAAAATGCTGATAGTGATATGAACGATAAGGTCCAGGCTGAGGTGGTCTCAGATGGAGATGAGAAACTTGTTGGGAGCTGGAGCAAAAGTGACTCTTGTTATGTTGTAGCAAAGAGACGTGGCATTTTGTGCCTTCCCCAGAGATTTGCGGAACTTTGAATTTGAGAGAGATGATTTTGGGTATCTGGTGGAAGAAATTTCAAAGCAGCAAAGCATTCAAGAAGTGACTTGGGTGCTGTTAAAGGCATTCAGTTTTATAAGGGAAGCAGAGGATAAAAGGTCAGAAAATTTGCAACCTAACAATGTGATAGAAAAGAAAATCCCATTTTCTGAGAAGAAATTCAAGCAGGCTGCAGAAATTTGCATAAGTAATGAGGAGCCCAATGTTAATCCCAAAGCAAATGGGGAAAATGTCTCCAGGGCATATCAGAGGTCTTCATGGCAGCCCCTCCCATCACAGGCCTGCAGGCCAAAGAGGAAAAAGTGGTTTCGTGGGCTGGGCCCAGGGTCCCCATGCTGTATGCAGCCTGGGGACTTGGTGCCCTGCATCCCAGCCACTCCAGCCATGGCTGAAGCAAGCCAAAGTAGAGCTTGGGCCATGACTTCAGACGGTGCAAGCCTCAAGCTTTGAGAGCTTCCACTTGGAGTTAAGGCAGTACACAGAAGTCAAGAATTGGGGTTCAGGAACCTCCACCTGGATTTCAGAAGATGTATGGAAATGCCTGGATGTCCAGGCAGAAGTTTGCTGCAGGGGTGGTGCTCTCATGGAGAACCTCTGCTAGGGCAGTGTGGAAGGGAAATATGGGGTTGGAGCCCCCACACAGAGTCCCTACTGAGGCACCACCTAGTGGAGCTGTGAGAAGAGGACCACTGTCCTCCAGACCCCAGAATGGTAGATCCACCGACAGCTTGCACTGTGCACCTGGGAAAGCTGCAGACACTCAACTCCAGTCCATGAAAGCAGCTGGGAGGGAGGATGTACTCTGCAAAGCCACAGGGGCTGAGCTGTCCAAGACCATGGGAACCCACCTCTTGCATCAGCATAACCTGAATGTGAGACATGGAGTCAAAGGAGATCATTTTGGAACTTTAAGATTTGACTACCCTGCTGGATTTTGGACTTGCATGCAGCCTGTAGCCCTTTTGTTTTGGCCAATTTCTCTCATTTGGAATGGCTGTGTTTACCTAATGCCTGTACCCACATTGTATCTAGGAAGTAACTAACCTGCTTTTGATTTTACATGCTCATAGTGGAAGAGGCTTTCCTTGTCTCAGATGAGACTTTGAACTGTGGACTTTTGAGTTAATGCTGGAATGAGTTAAGACTTTGGGGGACTGTTGGGAAGGCATGATTTTGAAATGTGAGGACATGAGATTTGGGAAGGCATGGTTTTGAAATGTAAGGACATGAGATTTGGGAGGGGCAAGGGGTGAAATAATATGGTTTGGCTGTGTCCCCACCCAAATCTCATCATGAATTCCCATGTGTTGTGGGAGGGACCCAGTGGGAGGTAATTGAATCATGGGGCAAGTCTTTCCCTTGCTGTTCTCATGATAGTGAATAGGTTTCATGAGATCCAATGGTTTTAAAAAGAGGAGTTCCCTTGCACAAGTTCTCTCTTTACCAGCTGCCATCCATGTAAGATGTGACTTGCTCCTCCTTGCTTTCCACCATGATTGTGAGGCTTCCCCAGCCATGTGGAATTTTAAGTCCAATTAAACCTCTTTATTTTGTAAATTGACCAGTCTTGGGTTTGTCTTTATTAGCTGTGTGAAAAGGGACTAATACAATGCTTCTGTGAGAATCTGATGCAGCGGCTGATCTAACAGGAGGCAGAGCTCAGACAGTAATGTGAATGGTGGGGACTGGCTGTAAATACAGATGATACTTGGTGGCTCAGGGAGTTGGGACCCCTGGTGTAGAACACACCCCAGAGTTATTCCAATTAAGGAGATAGAAACTGAGGTTATTTATTAACAAATTTCCAGTAGTACTTGTCGAAGAGTTCTCCTGGGTGAAATCTTTTACTTGTTCCTCCTCATCCCCCAGTCACTGGGGACCTCTGGTCTTCCCCAAAGATGAAGGTTTCTACTGGGTTGGGAAGGGTTCAAAGCTGAGAGAAAGCTTCAAGCCAGAGTTGTTCATGCTTACTCTCAGCAGCCAAAGGGTCAGCATGCCCAGGAATGGTGATTGCTGAAAGGACATGCTGGGTTCTAATAGCATCTTCCACATCTAGTGAACACACTTCAGAAAAAACTCTTAGAAGACACATTTATAACCATACTGAAATCATTCAATATTCACATAAAAGGTGTTGATGTTTATCATGACTTTCTACATGTTAAGAGAGTACAGGCATGTATGGTTACAGTCTAGAATAAATTTTGAACTTAAAAATTAAAAACTTTAAGTTTATTTTCATTATTAAGTGATGAATGAAAATAGTGTTAGTAATCATATATTTGTGTAAAAATTATTATTTTTTAAATTTTATTTTTAACTTTAAAAACTCTTCCCACATAACAATCCCCTCACTAGTTTCCCCTACAATGTTGGTAGGTATGTTTATCAAATAAAGCACAGTCTATTCAGTTTCAAAAAAAATTTTTGTAATTGCTCATAAATGATGCTGAATTATATCAAATAATATTTACCTTCAATTGAGTTGTCCATATGTTTTTTCTACTTTAATTTGTTAGTGTGGGAAATTGTATTCATAGATAGTCTAATATGAATCACCAGTGTCTTCCTTCATCATGATGCATTTTTAAATTACATTGCTAGTTGCTATGTGCTAATATTTGTATTCAAATTTTGTAACTATGCTCATAAGTGAGATTGACCTATGATATTCTTTTCTTGTTCTGTTATTCTGTTTCAACATTAAGGTTCTAGTCTCATAAAATTAGTTGGGGAGTTATCCCACTTTTATTATTCTCTGTAGTAGTTGCAGAAGATAGGAATTGTCTGTTCTTTGAGTATTTAAATAGACCACCTATGAGACCATTTAAACTGCTTTTTTTGTTTGGCTGAAGTATATACTTTACTAATTTAATTTTTTAATGATTATGGGTCTAATGTGGTGTTTTATTTCTCTTAGGGTCAATTTTTTATGGTATACTTTGCTCAGAAAGTCTATTGTGTCTAAATTTTCCAGTTTATTTGCTTAATGTTTTTCATACTATTATATCATTATTTGATGATATAATAATGTATCTGTGTATCTGTGATTATTTACCTTTTTAACATCCAATAATGCATGGTTTAATCTTCTTTTGTCTTCATTAATTTTCCCAGTTTTGATGATGATTTATTCTTTTAATGAACCAGTTGTTGGCTACATTATTCTTGGACCTTTATGATTGTTCTTAATTTCCTTTTGTTGTCATTATCTTTATTAAATTCACATTTTTGCTTTTATTTTTCAGATGTTAATTTAACTACATCAAACTTTTGCGGTTAGTGTGTACCTGATTTATCCTTTCTTATTCTATAAAACAAAACAAAGCAAACAAACAACAAACAAAAACCTTAGTCTTTATATTTTGGGATTTTTGTTCTTACAATATGTGAATTTCCTACAGAAATCTATTGATTTCTGTTTACCATGGATTTGTTTTTACTTTTTTTACCTTTCCAAAATTTATCCAGACTAACCAAGTCTTTACCTTTCCCATTGCCCCGTTAGTGGGTAGTATCATAGATTCTATTTTTAGTTTTTAGTGATTACTCTTAAAATTTTTTTGTAGAGTTACCTTAGAGTCTAAACATTATTAATATATTTACTCTCATTCAAAAACATATAAGGACCTTAGAGCTTTAACTTAGATCATTCCCTTGACTATTATGTCATTATTTATTGTTTAGTATTTAATTCTACCCTGCTTGATATTCCTATAATTAGTCATCCTTATTATGGCTGTTTTATTCTATTGATGCTTATTTTACTCACAGATATACTAATTTATTTTCTAAACATTCTCCCTTGCATTTTAATATTTATTTTAGAAACTTTTATTTTTTCTTTCTAAAATACATACTTGAGTTTTTCCTTTATTAAAGGCATACAGTTGATAAATGTTTTGTTTTATTTTGTCTGAAAGTATCCTTATTTTGCCTTTATTCTATAATAATGTTTTAGCTGAATATAGAGTTTTAACTTAAATTTTATGTTCTGATTGCTACTTTTGTGATCAATCTCCTACAATGGTAAGACATTAGAAATATTTCATTTCAAATCAGAGGGATACTTGCTGCACAACTTCTATTCAACATTTTTTATCTACTATCATAAGAACTAAAAGATTTAAGAATTGGGAAAAAAGGTGTCCCAACTTTATTACTCATAAATGATACAATTGCTTATATAGTACATCTAAGAATTTATAGAAGAAAATGCTAAAAAAAGTAAAAATGCAATAAACATGATAGATATTAGATTAATGTGTGAGAGTAAATTACATCTCTATATCTAAGAAATAAAACATTTGACACATTTGCTGTTGTTGTTTTTACTCTCAAGTAATAATAACTTTTATCACCCCAATAAAATGAGTTATCTTATTATATATCTGTTGGCAGTATGTCTTTGTCTTCCAAAACGACATTTTCAAACTGGATTTAGTGCTCCCAAATGGTACTGGGCCCTAAGCTTGGGAAACAAAAATTCTCACAGGACCTGCAGCACAGGTGCAGCCTGAGACAGTGGAAATTCCCCGCCCCTCCCACCGCCCTCTGACCCCAGCCAGAATCACAGTTTAATTTTCTCTCAGAGGGTTTGTCTCCAGGTCTTAGAGGAAAATTCATTGTCTGTCCATAATCAGCGTTGTCCTATCGAAAAGGATGCAGCACAAGGGTGTAATCATGTGGACTGCGTAACATCAGGACTTAATGGCTAGGTGACAGCCCGTGAAAGCTGATCCACACATGATCTCCCCCAGTGAATACAATGGAAATAGCATTTGACACAGTTTTTAAGGAAATGTTCAATCATGGTTTGGTTGCAAACAAAAGAATCTACTTTAGCTGGCCTAGCCAAACTAAGATTTAATACAGAATATTTTGTGCTTGTAAACTCAGAAACAACACCTAGTCTATAGACTCACTCTGACTAGGAAAACTGTCACTGAAGTTAACAGGTAGTTATCATAGATTTTCTGGTTCCAAAACCAAGCCACCTATGACATGATCTGTCACCTGCAATATGTCTGCCAAAAGAATGGATGCCCAGCATTCTCCGTCTTCCCACTTAACTCTGTTTGGCATCAGCCTTTTGTGTGACTCTATCTGATTTGTGATAGATACAGTTGATCCTCATTATTTATAATTCTGTATTTGTGAATTCATCTACTTGCTAATATTTATTTGTAAACCCCAAGTCAATACTCAGAGTGCTTTTGTGGCCATTTGCAGACATGTGCAGAGAAGCAAAAAAAAATTGAGTTTATTCAATGCTTGCATTCCCAGCTGAAGTTGAACAAGAAGATGACCTGCCTTCTTGTTTCAGCTCTGATGCTGTAAATAAGTATCCTTTTCGTGATCTATTTAGTGCCATGGTTTGTTTTCCATTTTTATAGATGATTTTGCTCATTAAAATGACCCCCACCCCCGACCATGCATGGTGCTGAAGTGCTGTCTAATGTTCCTAAGTGTGAGAAGGCTGTAATGTGCCTTCTGGAAAAAATACATGTTAGATAAGCTTTGTTCAAGAATGAGTTATAGTGCTGTAGGCCATGCATTCAATGTTAATGAGCCAAATATATATTAAATAAGATGTCTTTAAAGAGAAATACATATAAAACAAGGTTATGTATTGATCGATTGACAAAATACTGTGACCACAGTCTCCAGGAACCTAATCCTGTATTTCCCCTAGGAGCAGTGGTTCAGTATTGGCTAAGGCAGTGTTGGTTTGTGGTGAGTTAATAGAACATAACTTTAAAAAATCATGAAAATTAACCATAAATCACATCTGGAATTTTAGCTTCAAGAGTTTCTAGGAAGATGAAGTTTTGAGACATCCAATCTTCACAAAAGAATGGCTGTTAAATGAACCAAGTCATGGATCCCATTTATAGTGACAACAAAAACTGCAGTGGTGGACAGACTCTATGTTGGCCCCTAAAACCCCCTGGTGTTCATGCCTTTATTTAATCTTCTACCCTTGAATGTGTGCAGGACTTCTGACTTGTTTCTAATCAATAAATATGGCAAAGGTGATGAATTATGTCATGCCACTTAAGCCTCTGTCTTGGTAGCAGACTTGGTCTAGAGACCCTTCTTGCTGATTTAATGCAGGAAGCAACTATGTTGGGAAAGCCCGCAGGCAAGGAACTGAGAATGATCTCTCTCTATATATATATCTATATATCTATATATCTATATATCTATATATATATATATACACATATATATATAGTCAGATATAACAGATATATCTATATCAGACTATATATATATATATAAAACAGATATATATATATCAGACAAAGAAGTACAAGAGTCAGGAAATAATGCACTATTCAAAATAGAGTATTGGAATGATTTTTTATGAATATGGAAAAGGATAGGATTTCTACCTCATTCATATACAAAAATTCCAAACAAATCATAAATTTAAGTGTAAAATAAACTTTAATATACTGCAAAATATAGTAATGACCTCAGGATAGAGATAATTTTCAAGAACAAAGCACAATAACCACACACTATAAAGGGAAGGATTGATAAGTATTTAAACTGCAGTAAAATTTTAAGCTTCTCAAAAGAAAAGAAATATCATAAGTAAAAGATAAGCTACAGACCAAAAGATTTTTATGATCCTATAATTATGAAAAATGAAAATCTACATTATATAAAGAGTATCTGTAAAACAATAAGCAGAAGATAAGCAACCCAAAAGCAAAATGAGCAAAGACTATGAACCAGCAATTCACAAAAGATGAAACCAAAACAGTCAACAATATGTAGTGGTAGATTAAAATATTGGTGACAGGCCAGGCGCGGTGGCTCACGCCTGTAATCCCAGCACTTTGAGAGGCCGAGATGGGTGGATCACGAGGTCAGGAGATCGAGACCATCCTGGCTAACATGGTGAAACCCTGTCTCTACTAAAAATACAAAAAATTAGCCGGGCGTGGTGGCGGGCGCCTGTAGTCTCAGCTACTCGGGAGGCTGAGGCAGGAGAATGGCGTGAACCCGGGAGGTGGAGCTTGCAGTGAGCCGAGATAGCGCCACTGCAGTCCCGCCTGGGCGAAAGAGCGAGACTCCGTCTCAAAAAAAAAAAATATTGGTGACAATTCTTCTCTTGCCTATAGTAGTTACATGCACTCATGTCTTTGCCATAGACTCATAGTGGTGGGGTATTTCCCCACCTTATGGATGTTGGACCCAGCTTGCCTTGCTTTGATCAGTGGCACCATAAGCAGACATGTTAAAAATAGGGATTTGAAATATTCTTGAATAACGGGGCTTGCGCTTTTGTTCTCTTGCCTTTGTTGTGAGAAGAGCATTGCTAGCCGGCCCACTGGCCCAAGGAATGTAAGAAACATATGGAACAGATGTGGATCCACAGATTTGCAGCTTGAAGAAGAGTCACACCAATTGGTTCCAGACCAATAAAAGTAAATGATTGCCTCTAAGTTTTGGGGTAGCTGGTTGCCCAATATCATTGCAAAAATAGCTAACTGACATACATATAAAAAGATAATGAACTTTATTATTAAAGAGGGAAATACAGATGAAGGCGCGGCGATTAACCATTTCCTATCCATTCGATCGGCATTATATAACATTGCTGTACAACACTTTGGAGAGTAATTTGACAATAATGTGTAATGTTAAAGTATTATAACTTCTAAGTACATAACCAGGAAATTCTTGCACTTGTGCACAGGTAAAGACATACAAAGAATGTTTATTACACCCTTATTTGTAATAACAATTTTTTAAAGAAATCTATCCATCAATAGGAAAATAAATACATTGTAATATGTTTACGATATGGAAAGCAGTAAAAATGAATAAACTATAGCTATGCATTCTAACATTTTAAAAAATCTTGGAAAAAACATTGAGCAACAAAAGCAAGTTTCAGAAGAATACATACAGTATGACTCTACATATATACTGCCCTAAGTCATTCGGACATGACTGTATTTACAGATAGATACTGGTTTTGCATCTTCACATAACAGTAGCAAACTTGGAGGCAGTGTGAAGAGTGTTATCAGTAAAAATTATTCAAAGAACTTTATTAAATCTTTTATTTCTGAAAAAAAATAAGAGAGGCATGCATAATAAAATGGTAAGATTTGACAAAGCTGAGTGGTGGATACCACAGCTGTTAGTCATGTTATTCTTTGGACATCTCCCATATGCCTTAATGTTTTATTATTTTATTTTATTTATTTTATTTATTTATTTATTTTGAGACGGAGTCTCACTCTGTCACCCAGGCTGGAGTGCAGTGGCACCATCTTGGCTCACTGCAAGCTCTGCCTCCCGGGTTCACGCCATTCTCCTGCCTCAGCCTCCTGAGTAGCTGGGACTACAGGTGCCCGCCACCACGCCCGGCTAATTTTTTGTATTTTTACTGGAGACAGGGTTTCACTGTGTTAGCCAGGATGGTCTTGATCTCCTGACCTCGTGATCCACCCGCCTCGGCCTCCCAAAGTGCTAGGATTACAGGCGTTAGCCACCGTGCCTGGCCTGCTTTATCATTTTAAAAAGAAAGCTTTGAATTATGAGGCAAAAACCCTGTTTGGATATCACCTCTGCCATTTACTGACTATGCAACCCTCACCAAACTCTAAGAGCTCTCTGCACCTTTGTTTTCTCATTTGTAAAATAAATATGTGGAACTGAGACCTTTAAATTCCCTTGCACCATTAAAATTTCAGATTATATTAATTTTTTAAAACTTAAATTAATTGCTTATATGGATCCATTACTCCAGGCAGAATTCAGAATACCCACTTGGACAGGCAAAGCCATCAATAGAGTCCTCTAACCTCAGATGGTTAGCTCAGCTCAAGGAATACAAACTAAATTGTGGGTAGAGCAGTGCCTCATTCCAACATCATGAAAGCTCCGAAAGTAAGAGTGGTCTAAAAGGTTTTCATGACAATAAAATCATTTATATTTTCTGCCAAAGTTGAAGATACACACACACACACACACACACACACACAGAGAGAGAGAGAGAGAGAGAGAGAGAGAGAGAGAGAGAGAGAGAGAGAAAATGAATCGTTATCCTACGGAAAAAAAATAAGAGATCCATATCCTTATTAATGTTTTAAAGAAATCTGTATATATCCTTAACAGGATCCAACCCACAGCCCAATTACCTATTTTGCCTTGATACAATTGAAGGACAACCATGATAATTCGAAAAATGTGACAAGCAGGGATTGGCCATGTACAAAATTAAATTGGTATCATTTTTCTACTGTGTACACAAAGAAAAGCCTTATTCTCAATAATAAGGACACATTAAACCTAAAGATTAAAATGAGTTTCTCTAATAGATTCATGAATTCAGCTGCAATAAAGTAGCATTCTTTTTTCCCTCTAGGTATATTCCCTGTTCTTAACTTCTTTGTTTCAAATTCTTAGGAGAAAATAGAGTCTTTGGCTATAGAATGTATTATGTCTGAATGTTTCCACATACAGTATATGACTAACAAAACTATTTATACTAAACTTTCTGGTTTTTCAGATCTTCCAACATATAGGACTCCTGTTCTAAAATGTGCTTTATGCTCCAATTTCCTGCAAATTTATCTATGAAGCCAGGGAAACTGAGTTACTTGGAATTAACTTTTGGTGGTTTCCAGGATACAGCCATCTGCAAGTACTTATACATGGGTAGTTGATGAAAACAGCTAAGTATGTTGTAGCCATGTGATAAATTTTTTCATGGTTAAGACATTTTTTTCAAGGTGTCAGACTTAAAATATCATTCAATGAGGGAATAATTTATCCTCATTTTGGTTCCATTGGCTGAAAATGTTGAGAGTTATCTGAAGAGTGTACTGTCCCTGTGCATGTTTAAGTCTTGTATGCTCTAAGAGAAGCATACATGATGCAAGTTGGAACTTTACTTATGAGAGGGAACACAACTGTGGAGAGGACCACTGTCTTCTCCCCTGCATGGTGGTGCCATCTTGTTCCACTAATCATTTACTTAGTGGGCAGTGAAAACACACAACATCACACAGCACCTCACAAGAGTGTGAGAAAAAAAAAAACAAAACAGGGGGAACATCTAATGTGCCTAAATTCTTCCAATTGCTAATAGCCATTTATAATTGTCTGCACAATATTCCACATGTTCAAAGCAAAGCAGTTATAGCAAAGGTGTTGAAAGCATGGGTTGTACAGTTGTTACCCTGCCTTAAATTATACCTTTACCACTTAGTAGTTCTGTGGTTGATCTTGTATAACTTACCTAACCTCTTTAAGCCATAGTATTCTCAGTAGTTTCCCAACCCTAAATTCTCACTGCACAATTGCTATTATAAATTTTTTCTACAGCTGATGATATAGTTTAAATATGTTCGTATTTTGCTTTTATATTGACCTCTAAAATTGACCATACTTATTATAATACTTCTACTGATATTCCATAGATAATCTCTACTTTCTCTCCAAAATTTTGACTCCTTCCCAGGACAAATTCATCACACCTCTCCTATGGAAAGGATCAAAAGGAAAATCTCTCACTGCTATATCACAGTTGGTAGCATTCTCAAAGAGAGAGTTTTAGGGAAGAGAAATGCCAAAGGTGGATCCAAGTCTTTTTTTCTGAAAGTGTAATGTAAACATTGCAAATTTTATATTGTCTTCCTATAATTTGTAGAAGAAACTTCTTGGGTGAGGGGAGCACAGAGAAAAATGAATGAATGAACACCTAAAATCTAGGTTATATAATTCAGGGAGAAGTACATACCTTATACTTCTTTTTATAGCTCTCTCTCCCATAGTGCCTACTATAATGCCTATCATTGCAAACATTTGTCAAAAGAACAATGACCAAATGAGGAAGAGCAGGAACAGAGATGTGATGGTGTTGGAAGAAACAACTGTAGCAGAAGATAAGGAGACAAGGCAGTAATGGATTACAAAGGGCACATGTCCCATCACTGACTATAAACCAAAGTAAACAGACTTTAACCTAATGAAGTTTCTTACACCCTTGGTTATGGCATGAGCAGGTGGTGATTTAGCTGTAGTTAGGAGGTAACCAAATGTATTCTTTGGATGTCCCTTTTCCTCTTCTACATTTAATTGGGTCCAACTCCTATATCTGCCCACCTGGATCTTACAGCTTGTTCAACATCTTGACCCATCAAAGCTTTTAGAAACTTCCCATCTTCTCTCATATCCCTCAGTGAGGTGGAAGATTGCAACCCTTCAAACCACAGCCAGAGAGGTAGGTGTCATCTCTGATTTATAGGCTTGCTCTTCATAAAGGAATACCTTTGTTCCATATTTATCACAAAGACATTTTATCCTCTTCTAATATGTAACTACTCACTGAGCATCTGAAGAGGACTAAAGAATAGATGAAGTTAATTGTTATGAAAGGTCAATAGATAAATTTTTCGTCCTGTGGCCAACCACTCTCTTAGCCTTTGAGCCTATACTTCCTCCAGTTATTATTATTCTATACTGAAGAAGGTAAGATACAGCTTGCCAAAGAAATTTTTACCGTATTTGTTGAGCATATAAGTAAGTAGCTCAGGAGATAGAGCAAAGGTAAAAATATAAATCAAGGATAAAATATATGAATATAAAATAGATAAATCTTGGAGATGATCACTGAAACTTTGGGAAGAGATAAGTATTAGTTTGGCTCATGCTTCAGCAAAAGGTTAGTATCAGGAATTGTGCTGGCCCACAGGGCTCGAGTGCACCAGTTGGTGGTTCACAGTTCAGGTCAGCGCAAATTCTATCAAAGAAAAAAAATACACAGAACTTAACTGACCCCTGCCTTTGCACAGATCATTATGCACCGCTAAATATCTTCAACCAGATATACATCAGAAATGAAAGCCAGAGTGAATATTTCACCGACTTTTGGCTGAAAGGTGGTACTTCCATGGCCTCTGGGTCATTTTAGCTTGTTGGCTTAGCTTGTAGAGAGAGTTGTTAGCGCCACTCATGGGTGTACTAACTTGGGGTCTAACTTCCTGCCATTGGTACTGCAGTGAATAATTTTCATTCTGTCTGATTTACTCAGTAGATGGTTAACACAGTACCTTGTGTACAAAAGGTGCCAAATGAGTGATGAATCTGAGGAATTACTGGTCTTTAAATCATTTAATATTATATTTCAAGGGTAAATTTGAATAGAGAATAAAATAGTGGCTCAAGTTATCTTCATAGCTGTTTTCTCAAACACAATTTTAACCTAGATATAACAAACAACAGCAATAGAATGTGTTAGAAAGAGGACTTTTATGGCCGGGCACGGTGACTCACGCCTGTAATCCCAGCACTTTGGGAGGCCGAGGTGGGTGGATCACCTGAGTGAGGTCAGGAGTTCGAGACTAGCTGGGTCAACATGGTGAAACCCCATCTCTACTAAAAATACAAAAATTAGCCGGGCCTGGTGGCACCTGCCCATAATCCCAGCTACTTGGGAGGCTGAGGCAGGAGAATCACTTGAATCCAGGAGGCCGAGGTTGCAGTGAGCTGAGATTGTGCTACTGCACTCCAGCCTGGGCAACAGAGTGAGACTCTCTCTCCAAAAGAAAGAAAGAAAGAAAGAAGACTTTTATATTAAATATAGTCTTTTTTTCCTTATCACTTGAACATTTGATAGCTTGACCTAATCCTAAGAAAAGTTTTTAAAATGAATAATAGTAGTTTTACAGAGGTTGGGCTTTTTAAAGAACATTCTAATTCCCTTAAATCCTCATCTATGCACAACAGGTATTTATGCATTTGAAATATTCATCACAGTCTTGGGTATGTAAACATAAATATAAATGAAGTAATACAGAAACAATTTTCTTGATTACAAGTTATCTTCCATTTCAGGGATATATTCATTACCTTCTTTATGCCTACATAAATGGCTACCATTACTACTGAAACTGCAAAATAGTGTTTTAAATTTTGAAAACATGTCTGTATCCTAACCAATTGGCTGTGGATGAACTTACCAGCTTCTGATTTAGTGTAAGCACGTCTGTGGTTTGTTTTGTCATTCCATTTGGTTTTAGCATATTTTTTAACACTTCCTCATTGCCTCTTGTTATACAAAGACAGCTGTGACCCCAAATGTGTTCACTTTTAAAGTTATGTTGTCTGTCTATGAAAAGGAAACATTCTGAGAAAAAAAAAAGCAAATGTAAATAAAACACAGGTAAAAAAAAATCCTGGGAAAAATTCAAATGGTATAAAGATGCTGAAGTAAGTGTTTTCATGAGGATACTGTTGAGAGTTTTGAGTACATTTCAAGCCCCAGAGAACAAAATACATCGAATATAAAGTGACCATCATAATTATTTTTATGACTAACAACTACATAGAAGTTTAATAAATAAGAATCACTAGAAAACTAAACCAAGATATAAATG